>NC_000018.10:15535358-15780377 GCF_000001405.40 Homo sapiens | reverse complement strand
TCTGTCTAGTTTGCATGGGAAGATATTTCCTTGTTCACCATAGGCCTGAAAGCGCTCGAAATGTCCAATTCCAGATACTGCAGAAAGAGGGTTTGAAACCTGCTCTGTGAAAGGGAACGTTCAACTCTGTGACTTAAACGCAAACATCATAAAGAAGCTTCTGAGAATGCTGCTGTCTACTTTGTATATGTAATCCCGTTTCCAACGTAACCCTCCAAGCTATCCAAATATCCTCCTGCAGATTCCACAAAAAGACGCTTTCAAGCCTGCCCTTAGAAAGGGAATATTCATCTCTCTGTTATCAATGCAGATATCACAAAGTAGATTCTGAGAGTGCTTCTGTCTAGGTTTTATGTGAAGATATTCCCGTTTCCAACGAAATAGTTAGGGCTATCCATGTATCAGCTTGCAAATTCTATAAAAAGGGTGTTTCCCAACTGCTGTATCATAAGAAAGGTTGAACTCTGTTAGTTGAGGACACACATCACAAAGACGTTTCTGAGAATGCTTCTGTCTAGTTTTTATGTTAAGGTATTTCCTTTTTCAACATAGGCCTGAAATCGATCGAAATGTCCACTTCCAGATACTACAGAAAGAGTGTTTCAAACCTGCTCTATTGAAGGGAATATTCAACTCTGTGACTTAAAAGCAAACATCACAAAGAATCTCCTGAGATTGCTGCTGTCTACTTTCTTTATGTATTCCCGCCTCCAACGAAATCCTCAGAGCTATACGAATATCCATCTGCAGATTCCACATAAAGAGCTTTCCAAAACTGATCTATAAAGAGAAAGGTTCAACTCTGTTAGTTGAGTACATATATCCCAAAAATGTTTCTTAGAATGCTTCTGTCTAGTTTTGATGGGAAGACATTTCCTTTTTCACCAAAGGCGTCAAAGTGCTCCAAATGTCCACTTCCAGATACGACAGAAAGAGTGTTTCAAACCTGCTTTAGGAAGGGAAATGTTCAACTCTGTGGCTTGAATGCAGATATCACAAAGCAGTTTCTGCGAGTGCCACTGTCTAGATTTTATATGAAGGGATTCCCGTTTCCAACGAAATCGTTAGAGCTATCCAAATATCCACTTGCAGATTCTATAAAAAGAGTGTTTCCAACGTGCTGTATCAAAAGATAGGTTGTACACTGTTAGTTGAGGACACACATTACAAAGAAGTTTCTGAGAATGCCTCTGTCTAGATTTTACCTGAAGATATTCCGGTTTCCAATGAAATCCTTAAAGCTCTCCAAATATCCACTAGCAGATACTCCAAAAGAGTCTTTCAAAACTGCTCTGTGAATAGAAATGTTCAACTCTGTTAGTTGAAGACATACGTCACAAAGCAGTTTGTGAGAATGCTTCTGTCTAGGTTTTATGGGACGATATTTCCTTTTTCACCATAAGCGTCCAAGAGCTCCAAGTGCCCACATCCAGATACTTCAGAAAGGGTGTTTCAAACCTGCTCTATGAAAGGGAATGTTCAACTCTGTGACGTGAATGCGGATATCACAAAGCCGTTTCTGAGAATGTTACTGTCTAGGTTGTCTATGAAGATACTCCCGTTTCCAACGAAATCCACAAAGCCATCCAAATATCCACTTGCAGATTCTACAAAAATCGTGTTTCCAAACTGCTCTGTCAAACGAAATGTTCAACTCCGTGAGTTGAGGACACACATCACAAACAAGTTTCTGCGAATGCTTCTGTCTAGTTTGCATGGGAAGATATTTCCTTGTTCACCATAGGCCTGAAAGCGCTCGAAATGTCCACTTCCAGATACTGCAGAAAGAGGGTTTCAAACCTGCTCTATGAAAGGGAACGTTCAACTGTGTGACTTGAAAGCAAACATCATAAAGAAGCTTCTGAGAATGCTGCTGTCTACTTTGTATATGTAATCCCGTTTCCAACGTAACCCTCCAAGCTATCCAAATATCCTCCTGCAGATTCCACGAAAAGACGCTTTCAAGCCTGCCCTTAGAAAAGGAATATTCAACTCTCTGATATCAATGCAGATATCACAAAGTAGTTTCTGAGAGTGCTTCTGTCTAGGTTTCATGTAAAGATATTCCCGTTTCCAACGAAATAGTTAGGGCTATCCATGTATCAACTTGCAAATTCTATAAAAAGAGTGTTTCCCAACTGCTGTATCATAAGAAAGGTTGAACTCTGTTAGTTGAGGACACACATCACAAAGACGTTTCTGAGAATGCTTCTGTCTAGTTTTTATGTTAAGGTATTTCCTTTTTCAAAATAGGCCTGAAATCGATCGAAATGTCCACTTCCAGATACTACAGAAAGAGTGTTTCAAACCTGCTCTATTGAAGGGAATATTCAACTCTGTGACTTAAAAGCAAACATCACAAAGAATCTCCTGAGAATGCTGCTGTCTACTTTCTTCATGTATTCCCGTCTCCAACGAAATCCTCAGAGCTATCCGAATATCCATCTGCAGATTCCACATAAAGAGCTTTCCAAAACTGATCTATAAAGAGAAAGGTTCAACTCTGTTAGTTGAGTACATATATCCCAAAAATGTTTCTTAGAATGCTTCTGTCTAGTTTTCATGGGAAGACATTTCCTTTTTCACCAAAGGCGTCAAAGTGCTCCAAATGTCCACTTCCAGATACGACAAAAAGAGTGTTTCAAACCTGCTTTAGGAAGGGAAATGTTCAACTCTGTGGCTTGAATGCAGATATCACAAAGCAGTTTCTGAGAGTGCCACTGTCTAGGATTTTATATGAAGGTATTCCCGTTTCCAACGAAATCGTTAGAGCTATCCAAATATCCACTTGCAGATTCTATAAAAAGAGTGTTTCCAACGTGCTGTATCAAAAGATAGGTTGTACACTGTTAGTTGAGGACACACATTACAAAGAAGTTTCTGAGAATGCCTCTGTCTAGATTTTACCTGAAGATATTCCGGTTTCCAATGAAATCCTTAAAGCTCTCCAAATATCCACTAGCAGATACTCCAAAAGAGTCTTTCAAAACTGCTCTGTGAATAGAAATGTTCAACTCTGTTAGTTGAAGACATACGTCACAAAGCAGTTTGTGAGAATGCTTCTGTCCAGTTTTTATGGGACGATATGTCCTTTTTCACCATAAGCGTCCAAGCGCTCCAAGTGCCCACATCCAGATACTACAGAAAGTGTGTTTCAAACCTGCTCTATGAAAGGGAATGTTCAACTCTGTGACGTGAATGCAGATATCACAAAGCAGTTTCTGAGCATGTTACTGTCTAGGTTTTCTATGAAGATACTCCCGTTTCCAACGAAATCCACAAAGCCATCCAAATATCCACTTGCAGATTCTACAAAAATCGTGTTTCCAAACTGCTCTGTCAAACGAAATGTTCAACTCTGTGAGTTGAGGACACACATCACAAACAAGTTTCTGCGAATGCTTCTGTCTAGTTTGCATGGGAAGATATTTCCTTGCTCACCACGGGCCTGAAAGCGCTCGAAATGTCCACTTCCAGATACTGCAGAAAGAGGGTTTGAAACCTGCTCTATGAAAGGGAACGTTCAACTCTGTGACTTAAACCCAAACATCATAAAGAAGCTTCTGAGAATGCTGCTGTCTACTTTGTATATGTAATCCCGTTTCCAACGTAACCCTCAAAGCTATCCAAATATCCTCCTGCAGATTCCACGAAAAGACGCTTTCAAGCCTGCCCTTAGAAAGGGAATATTCAACTCTCTGATATCAATGCAGATAACACAAAGTAGTTTCTGAGAGTGCTTCTGTCTAGGTTTTATATGAAGATATTCCCGTTTGCAACGAAATAGTTAGGGCTATCCATGTATCAACTTGCAAATTCTATAAAAAGAGTGTTTCCAAACTGCTGTATCATAAGAAAGGCTGAACTCTGTTAGTTGAGGACACACATCACAAAGACGTTTCTGAGAATGTTTCTGTCTAGTTTTTATGTTAAGGTATTTCCTTTTTCAACATAGGCCTGAAATCGATCGAAATGTCCACTTCCAGATACTACAGAAAGAGTGTTTCAAACCTGCTCTATTGAAGGGAATATTCAACTCTGTGACTTAAAAGCAAACATCACAAAGAATCTCCTGAGAATGCTGCTGTCTAGTTTCTTTATGTATTCCCGTCTCCAAAGAAATCCTCAGAGCTATCCGAATATCCATCTGCAGATTCCACATAAAGAGCTTTCCAAAACTGATCTATAAAGAGAAAGGTTCAACTCTGTTAGTTGAGTACTTATATCCCAAAAATGTTTCTTAGAATGCTTCTGTCTAGTTTTGATGGGAAGACATTTCCTTTTTCACCAAAGGCGTCAAAGTGCTCCAAATGTCCACTTCCAGATACGACAGAAAGAGTGTTTCAAACCTGCTTTAGGAAGGGAAATGTTCAACTCTGTGGCTTGAATGCAGATATCACAAAGCAGTTTCTGAGAGTGCCACTGTCTAGATTTTTTATGAAGGTATTCCCGTTTCCAACGAAATCGTTAGAGCTATCCAAATATCCACTTGCAGATTCTATAAAAAGAGTGTTTCCAACGTGCTGTATCAAAAGATAGGTTGTACACTGTTAGTTGAGGACACACATTACAAAGAAGTTTCTGAGAATGCCTCTGTCTAGATTTTACCTGAAGATATTCCAGTTTCCGGTGAAATCCTTAAAGCTCTCCAAATATCCACTAGCAGATACTCCAAAAGAGTCTTTCAAAACTGCTCTGTGAATAGAAATGTTCAACTCTGTTAGCTGACGACATACGTCTCAAAGCAGTTTGTGAGAATGCTTCTGTCCAGTTTTTATGGGACGATATGTCCTTTTTCACCATAAGCGTCCAAGAGCTCCAAGTGCCCACATCCAGATACTACAGAAAGTGTGTTTCAAACCTGCTCTATGAAAGGGAATGTTCAACTCTGTGACGTGAATGCAGATATCACAAAACAGTTTCTGAGCATGTTACTGTCTAGGTTGTCTATGAAGATACTCCCGTTTCCAACGAAATCCACAAAGCCATCCAAATATCCACTTGCAGATTCTGCAAAAATCGTGTTTCCAAACTGCTCTGTCAAACGAAATGTTCAACTCTGTGAGTTGAGGACACACATCACAAACAAGTTTCTGCGAATGCTTCTGTCTAGTTTGCATGGGAAGATATTTCCTTGTTCACCATAGGCCTGAAAGCGCTCGAAATGTCCACTTCCAGATACTGCAGAAAGAGGGTTTGAAACCTGCTCTATGAAAGGGAACGTTCAACTCTGTGACTTGAACGCAAACATCATAAAGAAGCTTCTGAGAATGCTGCTGTCTGCTTTGTACATGTAATCCCGTTTCCAACGTAACCCTCAAAGCTATCCAAATATCCTCCTGCAGATTCCACGAAAAGACGCTTTCAAGCCTGCCCTTAGAAAGGGAATATTCAACTCTCTGATATCAATGCAGATATCACAAAGTAGTTTCTGAGAGTGCTTCTGCCTAGGTTTTATATGAAGATATTCCCGTTTCCAACGAAATAGTTAGGGCTATCCATGTATCAACTTGCAAATTCTATAAAAAGAGTGTTTCCAAACTGCTGTATCATAAGAAAGGTTGAACTCTGTTAGTTGAGGACACACATCACAAAGACGTTTCTGAGAATGTTTCTGTCTAGTTTTTATGTTAAGGTATTTCCTTTTTCAACATAGGCCTGAAATCGATCGAAATGTCCACTTCCAGATACTACAGAAAGAGTGTTTCAAACCTGCTCTATTGAAGGGAATATTCAACTCTGTGACTTAAAAGCAAACATCACAAAGTATCTCCTGAGAATACTGCTGTCTACTTTCTTTATGTATTCCCGTCTCCAACGAAATCCTCAGAGCTATACGAATATCCATCTGCAGATTCCACATAAAGAGCTTTCCAAAACTGATCTATAAAGAGAAAGGTTCAACTCTGTTAGTTGAGTACATATATCCCAAAAATGTTTCTTAGAATGCTTCTGTCTAGTTTTGATGGGAAGACATTTCCTTTTTCACCAAAGGCGTCAAAGTGCTCCAAATGTCCACTTCCAGATACGACAGAAAGAGTGTTTCAAACCTGCTTTAGGAAGGGAAATGTTCAACTCTGTGGCTTGAATGCAGATGTCACAAAGCAGTTTCTGAGAGTGCCACTGTCTAGATTTTATATGAAGGTATTCCCGTTTCCAACGAAATCGTTACAGCTATCCAAATATCCACTTGCAGATTCTATAAAAAGAGTGTTTCCAATGTGCTGTATCAAAAGATAGGTTGTACACTGTTGGTTGAGGACAGACATTACAAAGAAGTTTCTGAGAATGCCTCTGTCTAGATTTTACCTGAAGATATTCCGGTTTCCGGTGAAATCCTTAAATCTCTCCAAATATCCACTAGCAGATACTCCAAAAGAGTCTTTCAAAACTGCTCTGTGAATAGAAATGTTCAACTCTGTTAGCTGACGACATACGTCTCAAAGCAGTTTGTGAGAATGCTTCTGTCTAGTTTTTATGGGACGATATTTCCTTTTTCACCATAAGCGTCCAAGCGCTCCAAGTGCCCACATCCAGATACTACAGAAAGTGTGTTTCAAGCCTGCTCTATGAGAGGGAATGTTCAACTCTGTGACGTGAATGCGGATATCACAAAGCCGTTTCTGAGAATGTTACTGTCTAGGTTGTCTATGAAGATACTCCCGTTTCCAACGAAATCCACAAAGCCATCCAAATATCCACTTGCAGATTCTACAAAAATCGTGTTTCCAAACTGCTCTGTCAAACGAAATGTTCAACTCCCGTGAGTTGAGGACACACATCACAAACAAGTTTCTGCGAATGCTTCTGTCTAGTTTGCATGGGAAGATATTTCCTTGTTCACCATAGGCCTGAAAGCGCTCGAAATGTCCACTTCCAGATACTGCAGAAAGAGGGTTTGAAACCTGCTCTATGAAAGGGAATGTTCAAATCTGTGACTTGAACGCAAACATCATAAAGAAGCTTCTGAGAATGCTGCTGTCTACTTTGTATATGTAATCCCGTTTCCAACGTAACCCTCCAAGCTATCCAAATATCCTCCTGCAGATTCCACAAAAAGACGCTTTCAAGCCTGCCCTTAGAAAGGGAATATTCAACTCTCTGATATCAATGCAGATATCACAAAGTAGTTTCTGAGAGTGCTTCTGTCTAGGTTTTATATGAAGATATTCCCGTTTCCAACGAAATAGTTAGGGCTATCCATGTATCAACTTGCAAATTCTATAAAAAGAGTGTTTCCAAACTGCTGTATCATAAGAAAGGTTGAACTCTGTTAGTTGAGGACACACATCACAAAGACGTTTCTGAGAATGCTTCTGTCTAGTTTTTATGTTAAGATATTTCCTTTTTCAACATAGGCCTGAAATCGATCGAAATGTCCACTTCCAGATACTACAGAAAGAGTGTTTCAAACCTGCTCTATTGAAGGGAATATTCAACTCTGTGACTGAAAAGCAAACATCACAAAGAATCTCCCGAGAATGCTGCTGTCTACTTTCTTTATGTATTCCCGTCTCCAACGAAATCCTCAGAGCTATCCGAATATCCATCTGCAGATTCCACATAAAGAGCTTTCCAAAACTGATCTATAAAGAGAAAGGTTCAACTCTGTTAGTTGAGTACACATATCACAAAAGTGTTTCTTAGAATGCTTCTGTCTAGTTTTCATGGGAAGACATTTCCTTTTTCACCAAAGGCGTCAAAGTGCTCCAAATGTCCACTTCCAGATACGACAAAAAGAGTGTTTCAAACCTGCTTTAGGAAGGGAAATGTTCAACTCTGTGGCTTGAATGCAGATATCACAAAGCAGTTTCTGAGAGTGCCACTGTCTAGATTTTTTATGAAGGTATTCCCGTTTCCAACGAAATCGTTAGAGCTATCCAAATATCCACTTGCAGATTCTATAAAAAGAGTGTTTCCAACGTGCTATCAAAAGATAGGTTGTACACTGTTAGTTGAGGACACACATTACAAAGAAGTTTCTGAGAATGCCTCTGTCTAGATTTTACCTGAAGATATTCTGGTTTCCAATGAAATCCTTAAAGCTCTCCAAATATCCACTAGCAGATACTCCAAAAGAGTCTTTCAAAACTGCTCTGTGAATAGAAATGTTCAACTCTGTTAGTTGAAGACATACGTCACAAAGCAGTTTGTGAGAATGCTTCTGTCTAGTTTTTATGGGACGATATTTTCTTTTTCAGCATAAGCGTCCAAACGCTCCAAGTGCCCACATCCAGATACTACAGAATGTGTGTTTCAAGCCTGCTCTATGAGAGGGAATGTTCAACTCTGTGACGTGAATGCGGATATCACAAAGCCGTTTCTGAGAATGTTACTGTCTAGGTTGTCTATGAAGGATACTCCCGTTTCCAACGAAATCCACAAAGCCATCCAAATATCCACTTGCAGATTCTACAAAAATCGTGTTTCCAAACTGCTCTGTCAAACGAAATGTTCAACTCTGTGAGTTGAGGACACACATCACAAACAAGTTTCTGCGAATGCTTCTGTCTAGTTTGCATGGGAAGATATTTCCTTGTTCACCATAGGCCTGACAGCGCTCGAAATGTCCACTTCCAGATACTGCAGAAAGAGGGTTTGAAACCTGCTCTATGAAAGGGAACGTTCAACTCTGTGACTTGATAGCAAACATCATAAAGCAGCTTCTGAGAATGCTGCTGTCTACTTTGTATATGTAATCCCGTTTCCAACGTAATCCTCAAAGCTATCCAAATATCCTCCTGCAGATTCCACGAAAAGACGCTTTCAAACCTGCCCTTAGAAAGGGAATATTCAACTCTCTGATATCAATGCAGATATCACAAAGTAGTTTCTGAGAGTGTTTCTGTCTAGGTTTTATATGAAGATATTCCCGTTTCCAACGAAATAGTTAGGGCTATGCATGTATCAACTTGCAAATTCTATAAAAAGAGTGTTTCCAAACTGCTGTATCATAAGAAAGGTTGAACTCTGTTAGTTGAGGACACACATCACAAAGACGTTTCTGAGAATGCTTCTGTCTAGTTTTTATGTTAAGGTATTTCCTTTTTCAACATAGGCCTGAAATCGATCGAAATGTCCACTTCCAGATACTACAGAAAGAGTGTTTCAAACCTGCTCTATTGAAGGGAATATTCAACTCTGTGACTTAAAAGCAAACATCACAAAGAATCTCCTGAGATTGCTGCTGTCTACTTTCTTTATGTATTCCCGTCTCCAACGAAATCCTCAGAGCTATCCGAATATCCATTTGCAGATTCCACATAAAGAGCTTTCCAAAACTGATCTATAAAGAGAAAGGTTCAACTCTGTTAGTTGAGTACATATATCCCAAAAATGTTTCTTAGAATGCTTCTGTCTAGTTTTGATGGGAAGACATTTCCTTTTTCACCAAAGCGTCAAAGTGCTCCAAATGTCCACTTCCAGATACGACAAAAAGAGTGTTTCAAACCTGCTTTAGGAAGGGAAATGTTCAACTCTGTGGCTTGAATGCAGATATCACAAAGCAGTTTCTGAGAGTGCCGCTGTCTAGATTTTATATGAAGGTATTCCCGTTTCCAACGAAATCGTTAGAGCTATCCAAATATCCACTTGCAGATTCTATAAAAAGAGTGTTTCCAACGTGCTGTATCAAAAGATAGGTTGTACACTGTTAGTTGAGGACACACATTACGAAGAAGTTTCTGAGAATGCCTCTGTCCAGATTTTACCTGAAGATATTCCGGTTTCCAATGAAATCCTTAAAGCTCTCCAAATATCCACTAGGAGATACTCCAAAAGAGTCTTTCAAAACTGCTCTGTAAATAGAAATTTTCAACTCTGTTAGTTGAAGACATACGTCACAAAGCAGTTTGTGCGAATGCTTCTGTCCAGTTTTTATGGGACGATATGTCCTTTTTCACCACAAGCGTCCAAGCGCTCCAAGTGCCCACATCCAGATACTACAGAAAGTGTGTTTCAAACCTGCTCTATGAAAGGGAATGTTCAACACTGTGACGTGAATGCAGATATCACAAAACAGTTTCTGAGCATGTTACTGTCTAGGTTGTCTATGAAGATACTCCCGTTTCCAACGAAATCCACAAAGCCATCCAAATATCCACTTGAAGATTCTACAAAAATCGTGTTTCCGAACTGCTCTGTCAAACGAAATATTCAACTCCGTGAATTGAGGACACACATCAGAAACAAGTTTCTGCGAATGCTTCTGTCTAGTTTGCATGGGAAGATATTTCCTTGTTCACCATAGGCCTGAAAGCGCTCGAAATGTCCACTTCCAGATACTGCAGAAAGAGGGTTTGAAACCTGCTCTATGAAAGGGAACGTTCAACTCTGTGACTTGAACGCAAACATCATAAAGAAGCTTCTGAGAATGCTGCTGTCTACTTTGTATATGTAATCCCGTTTCCAACGTAACCCTCAAAGCTATCCAAATATCCTCCCGCAGATTCCACGAAAAGACGCTTTCAAGCCTTCCCTTAGAAAGGGAATATTCAACTCTCAGATATCAATGCAGATATCACAAAGTAGTTTCTGAGAGTGCTTCTGTCTAGGTTTTATGTGAAGATATTCCCGTTTCCAACGAAATAGTTAGGGCTATCCATGTATCAACTTGCAAATTCTATAAAAAGAGTGTTTCCCAACTGCTGTATCATAAGAAAGGTTGAACTCTGTTAGTTGAGGACACACATCACAAAGACGTTTCTGAGAATGCTTCTGTCTAGTTTTTATGTTAAGATATTTCCTTTTTCAACATAGGCCTGAAATCGATCGAAATGTCCACTTCCAGATACTACGGAAAGAGTGTTTCAAACCTGCTCTATTGAAGGGAATATTCAACTCTGTGACTTCAAAGCAAACATCACAAAGAATCTCCCGAGAATGCTGCTGTCTACTTTCTTTATGTATTCCCGTCTCCAACGAAATCCTCAGAGCTATCCGAATATCCATCTGCAGATTCCACATAAAGAGCTTTCCAAAACTGATCTATAAAGAGAAAGGTTCAACTCTGTTAGTTGAGTACATATATCCCAAAAATGTTTCTTAGAAAGCTTCTGTCTAGTTTTGATGGGAAGACATTTCCTTTTTCACCAAAGGCGTCAAAGTGCTCCAAATGTCCACTTCCAGATACGACAGAAAGAGTGTTTCAAACCTGCTTTAGGAAGGGAAATGTTCAACTCTGTGGCTTGAATGCAGATATCACAAAGCAGTTTCTGAGAGTGCCACTGTCTAGATTTTATATGAAGGTATTCCCGTTTCCAACGAAATCGTTAGAGCTATCCAACTATCCACTTGCAGATTCTATAAAAAGAGTGTTTCCAACGTGCTGTATCAAAAGATAGGTTGTACACTGTTAGTTGAGGACACACATTACGAAGAAGTTTCTGAGAATGCCTCTGTCTAGATTTTACCTGAAGATATTCCGGTTTCCAATGAAATCCTTAAAGCTCTCCAAATATCCACTAGCAGATACTCCAAAAGAGTCTTTCAAAACTGCTCTGTGAATAGAAATGTTCAACTCTGTTAGTTGAAGACATACGTCACAAAGCAGTTTGTGAGAATGCTTCTGTCTAGGTTTGATGGGACGATATTTCCTTTTTCACCATAAGCGTCCAAGAGCTCCAAGTGCCCACATCCAGATACTTCAGAAAGGGTGTTTCAAACCTGCTCTATGAAAGGGAATGTTCAACTCTGTGACGTGAATACGGATATCACAAAGCCGTTTCTGAGAATGTTACTGTCTAGGTTTTCTATGAAGATACTCCCGTTTCCAACGAAATCCACAAAGCCATCCAAATATCCACTTGCAGATTCTACAAAAATCGTGTTTCCAAACTGCTCTGTCAAACGAAATGTTCAACTCTGTGAGTTGAGGACACACATCACAAACAAGTTTCTGCGAATGCTTCTGTCTAGTTTGCATGGGAAGATATTTCCTTGTTCACCATAGGCCTGAAAGCGCTCGAAATGTCCACTTCCAGATACTGCAGAAAGAGGGTTTGAAACCTGCTCTATGAAAGGGAACGTTCAACTCTGTGACTTCAACGCAAACATCATAAAGAAGCTTCTGAGAATGCTGCTGTCTGCTTTGTACATGTAATCCCGTTTCCAACGTAACCCTCAAAGCTATCCAAATATCCTCCTGCAGATTCCACGAAAAGACGCTTTCAAGCCTGCCCTTAGAAAGGGAATATTCAACTCTCTGATATCAATGCAGATATCACAAAGTAGTTTCTGAGAGTGCTTCTGTCTAGGTTTTATGTGAAGATATTCCCGTTTCCAACGAAATAGTTAGGGCTATCCATGTATCAGCTTGCAAATTCTATAAAAAGGGTGTTCCCCAACTGCTGTATCATAAGA
The DNA here is from genome assembly GCF_000001405.40 of Homo sapiens. Lineage (NCBI taxonomy): Eukaryota > Metazoa > Chordata > Mammalia > Primates > Hominidae > Homo > Homo sapiens. The sequence continues at coordinate 15,768,017 of NC_000018.10, read as the reverse complement.
AAGGTTGAACTCTGTTAGTTGAGGACACACATCACAAAGACGTTTCTGAGAATGCTTCTGTCTAGTTTTTATGTTAAGATATTTCCTTTTTCAACATAGGCCTGAAATCGATCGAAATGGCCACTTCCAGATACTACAGAAAGAGTGTTTCAAGCCTGCTCTATTGAAGGGAATATTCAACTCTGTGACTTAAAAGCAAACATCACAAAGAATCTCCCGAGAATGCTGCTGTCTAATTTCTTTATGTATTCCCGTCTCCAACGAAATCCTCAGAGCTATCCGAATATCCATTTGCAGATTCCACATAAAGAGCTTTCCAAAACTGATCTATAAAGAGAAAGGTTCAACTCTGTTAGTTGAGTACATATATCCCAAAAATGTTTCTTAGAATGCTTCTGTCTAGTTTTGATGGGAAGACATTTCCTTTTTCACCAAAGGCGTCAAAGTGCTCCAAATGTCCACTTCCAGATACGACAAAAAGAGTGTTTCAAACCTGCTTTAGGAAGGGAAATGTTCAACTCTGTGGCTTGAATGCAGATATCACAAAGCAGTTTCTGAGAGTGCCACTGTCTAGGATTTTATATGAAGGTATTCCCGTTTCCAACGAAATCGTTAGAGCTATCCAAATATCCACTTGCAGATTCTATAAAAAGAGTGTTTCCAACGTGCTGTATCAAAAGATAGGTTGTACACTGTTAGTTGAGGACACACATTACAAAGAAGTTTCTGAGAATGCCTCTGTCTAGATTTTACCTGAAGATATTCCGGTTTCCGGTGAAATCCTTAAAGCTCTCCAAATATCCACTAGCAGATACTCCAAAAGAGTCTTTCAAAACTGCTCTGTGAATAGAAATGTTCAACTCTGTTAGCTGACGACATACGTACTCAAAGCAGTTTGTGAGAATGCTTCTGTCTAGGTTTTATGGGACGATATTTCCTTTTTCACCATAAGCGTCCAAGTAGCTCCAAGTGCCCACATCCAGATACTTCAGAAAGGGTGTTTCAAACCTGCTCTATGAAAGGGAATGTTCAACTCTGTGACGTGAATGCGGATATCACAAAGCCGTTTCTGAGAATGTTACTGTCTAGGTTTTCTATGAAGATACTCCCGTTTCCAACGAAATCCACAAAGCCATCCAAATATCCACTTGCAGATTCTACAAAAATCGTGTTTCCAAACTGCTCTGTCAAACCAAATGTTCAACTCTGTGAGTTGAGGACACACATCACAAACAAGTTTCTGCGAATGCTTCTGTCTAGTTTGCATGGGAAGATATTTCCTTGTTCACCATAGGCCTGAAAGCGCTCGAAATGTCCACTTCCAGATACTGCAGAAAGAGGGTTTGAAACCTGCTCTATGAAACGGAACGTTCAACTCTGTGACTTGAACGCAAACATCATAAAGAAGCTTCTGAGAATGCTGCTGTCTACTTTGTATATGTAATCCCGTTTCCAACGTAACCCTCCAAGCTATCCAAATATCCTCCTGCAGATTCCACAAAAAGACGCTTTCAAGCCTGCCCTTAGAAAGGGAATATTCAACTCTCTGATATCAATGCAGATATCACAAAGTAGTTTCTGAGAGTGCTTCTGTCTAGGTTTTATGTGAAGATATTCCCGTTTCCAACGAAATAGTTAGGGCTATCCATGTATCAACTTGCAAATTCTATAAAAAGAGTGTTTCCCAACTGCTGTATCATAAGAAAGGTTGAACTCTGTTAGTTGAGGACACACATCACAAAGACGTTTCTGAGAATGCTTCTGTCTAGTTTTTATGTAGAGATATTTCCTTTTTCAACATAGGCCTGAAATCGATCGAAATGGCCACTTCCAGATACTACAGAAAGAGTGTTTCAAACCTGCTCTATTGAAGGGAATATTCAACTCTGTGACTTAAAAGCAACCATCACAAAGGATCTCCCGAGAATGCTGCTGTCTATTTTCTTTATGTATTCCCGTCTCCAACGAAATCCTCAGAGCTATCCGAATATCCATCTGCAGATTCCACATAAAGAGCTTTCCAAAACTGATCTGTAAAGAGAAAGGTTCAACTCTGTTACTTGAGTACATATATCCCAAAAATGTTTCTTAGAATGCTTCTGTCTAGTTTTGATGGGAAGACATTTCCTTTTTCACCAAAGGCATCAAAGTGCTCCAAATGTCCACTTCCAGATACGACAGAAAGAGTGTTTCAAACCTGCTTTAGGAAGGGAAATGTTCAACTCTGTGGCTTGAATGCAGATATCACAAAGCAGTTTCTGCGAGTGCCACTGTCTAGATTTTATATGAAGGTATTCCCGTTTCCAACGAAATCGTTAGAGCTATCCAAATATCCACTTGCAGATTCTATAAAAAGAGTGTTTCCAACGTGCTGTATCAAAAGATAGGTTGTACACTGTTAGTTGAGGACACACATTACAAAGAAGTTTCTGAGAATGCCTCTGTCTAGATTTTACCTGAAGATATTCCGGTTTCCGGTGAAATCCTTAAAGCTCTCCACATATCCACTAGCAGATACTCCAAAAGAGTCTTTCAAAACTGCTCTGTGAATAGAAATGCTCAACTCTGTTAGCTGACGACATACGTCACAAAGCAGTTTGTGAGAATGCTTCTGTCCAGTTTTTATGGACGATATGTCCTTTTTCACCATAAGCGTCCAAGCGCTCCAAGTGCCCACATCCAGATACTACAGAAAGTGTGTTTCAAACCTGCTCTATGAAAGGGAATGTTCAACTCTGTGACGTAAATGCAGATATCACAAAACAGTTTCTGAGCATGTTACTGTCTAGGTTGTCTATGAAGATACTCCCGTTTCCAACGAAATCCACAAAGCCATCCAAATATCCACTTGCAGATTCTGCAAAAATCGCGTTTCCAAACTGCTCTGTCAAACGAAATGTTCAACTCTGTGAGTTGAGGACACACATCACAAACAAGTTTCTGCGAATGCTTCTGTCTAGTTTGCATGGGAAGATATTTCCTTGTTCACCATAGGCCTGAAAGCGCTCGAAATGTCCACTTCCAGATACTGCAGAAAGAGGGTTTGAAACCTGCTCTATGAAAGGGAACGTTCAACTCTGTGACTTGAACGCAAACATCATAAAGAAGCTTCTGAGAATGCTGCTGTCTACTTTGTATATGTAATCTCGTTTCCAACGTAACCCTCAAAGCTATCCAAATATCCTCCTGCAGATTCCACGAAAAGACGCTTTCAAGCCTGCCCTTAGAAAGGGAATATTCAACTCTCTGATATCAATGCAGATATCACAAAGTAGTTTCTGAGAATGCTTCTGCCTAGGTTTTATATGAAGATATTCCCGTTTCCAACGAAATAGTTAGGGCTATCCATGTATCAACTTGCAAATTCTATAAAAAGAGTGTTTCCCAACTGCTGTATCATAAGAAAGGTTGAACTCTGTTAGTTGAGGACACACATCACAAAGACGTTTCTGAGAATGCTTCTGTCTAGTTTTTATGTTAATATATTTCCTTTTTCAACATAGGCGTGTAATCGATCGAAATGTCCACTTCCAGATACTACAGAAAGAGTGTTTCAAACCTGCTCTATTGAAGGGAATATTCAACTCTGTGACTTAAAAGCAAACATCACAAAGAATCTCCTGAGAATGCTGCTGTCTACTTTCTTTATGTATTCCCGTCTCCAGCGAAATCCTCAGAGCTATCCGAATATCCACTTGCAGATTCCACATAAAGAGCTTTCCAAAACTGATCTATAAAGAGGAAGGTTCAACTCTGTTAGTTGAGTACATATATCCCAAAAATGTTTCTTAGAATGCTTCTGTCTAGTTTTGATGGGAAGACATTTCCTTATTCACCAAAGGCGTCAAAGTGCTCCAAATGTCCACTTCCAGATACGACAAAAAGAGTGTTTCAAACCTGCTTTAGGAAGGGAAATGTTCAACTCTGTGGCTTGAATGCAGATATCACAAAGCAGTTTCTGAGAGTGCCACTGTCTAGATTTTATATGAAGGTATTCCCGTTTCCAACGAAATCGTTAGAGCTATCCAACTATCCACTTGCAGATTCTATAAAAAGAGTGTTTCCAACGTGCTGTATCAAAAGATAGGTTGTACACTGTTAGTTGAGGACACACATTACGAAGAAGTTTCTGAGAATGCCTCTGTCTAGTTTTTACCTGAAGATATTCCGGTTCCCAATAAAATCCTTAAAGCTCTTCAATAAAAGCTCTCCGAATATCCACTTGCAGATTCTCCACATAGAGTCTTTCAAAACTGCTCTGTAAATTGAAATGTTCAACTCTGTTAGTTGAGGACATACATCACAAACCAGTTTGTGAGAATGCTTCTGTCTAGGTTTTATGGGACGATATTTCCTTTTTCACCATAAGCGTCCAAGAGCTCCAAGTGCCCACATCCAGATACTTCAGAAAGGGTGTTTCAAACCTGCTCTATGAAAGGGAATGTTCAACTCTGTGACGTGAATGCGGATATCACAAAGCCGTTTACTGAGAATGTTAACTGTCTAGGTTTTCTATGAAGATACTCCCGTTTCCAATGAAATCCACAAAGCCATCCAAATATCCACTTGCAGATTCTACAAAAATCGTGTTTCCAAACTGCTCTGTCAAACGAAATGTTCAAATCTGTGAGTTGAGGACACACATCACAAACAAGTTTCTGCGAATGCTTTCTGTCTTGTTTGCTTGGGAAGATATTTCCTTGTTCACCATAGGCATGAAAGCGCTCGAAATGTCCACTTCCAGATACTGCAGAAAGAGGGTTTGAAACCTGTTCTATGAAAGGGAACGTTCAACTCTGTGACTTAAACGCAAACATCACAAAGAAGCTTCTGAGAATGCTGCTGTCTACTTTGTATATGTAATCCCGTTTCCAACATAACCCTCAAAGCTATCCAAATATCCTCCTGCAGATTCCACGAAAAGACGCTTTCAAGCCTTCCCTTAGAAAGGGAATATTCAACTCTCTGATATCAATGCAGATATCACAAAATAGTTTCTGAGAGTGCTTCTGTCTAGGTTTTATATGAAGATATTCCCGTTTCCAAGGAAATAGTTAGGGCTATCCATGTATCAACTTGCAAATTCTATAAAAAGAGTGTTTCCAAACTGCTGTATCATAAGAAAGGTTGAACACTGTTAGTTGAGGACACACAACACAAAGACGTTTCTGAGAATGCTTCTGTCTAGTTTTTATGTTAAGATATTTCCTTTTTCAACATAGGCCTGAAATCGATCGAAATGGCCACTTCCAGATACTACAGAAAGAGTGTTTCAAACCTGCTCTATTGAAGGGAATATTCAACTCTGTGACTTCAAAGCAAACATCACAAAGAATCTCCCGAGAATGCTGCTGTCTACTTTCTTTATGTATTCCCGTCTCCAACGAAATCCTCAGAGCTATCCGAATATCCATCTGCAGATTCCACATAAAGAGCTTTCCAAAACTGATCTATAAAGAGAAAGGTTCAACTCTGTTAGTTGAGTACATATATCCCAAAAATGTTTCTTAGAATGCTTCTGTCTAGTTTTGACGGGAGGACATTTCCTTTTTCACCAAAAGTGTCAAAGTGCTCCAAATGTCCACTTCCAGATACGACAAAACGAGTGTTTCAAACCTGCTTTAGGAAGGGAAATGTTCAACTCTGTGGCTTGAATGCAGATATCACAAAGCAGTTTCTGAGAGTGCCACTGTCTAGATTTTATATGAAGGTATTCCCGTTTCCAACGAAATCGTTAGAGCTATCCAAATATCCACTTGCAGATTCTATAAAAAGAGTGTTTCCAACGTGCTGTATCAAAAGATAGGTTGTACACTGTTAGTTGAGGACACACATTACAAAGAAGTTTCTGAGAATGCCTCTGTCTAGATTTTACCTGAAGATATTCCGGTTTCCGGTGAAATCCTTAAAGCTCTCCACATATCCACTAGCAGATACTCCAAAAGAGTCTTTCAAAACTGCTCTGTGAATAGAAATGCTCAACTCTGTTAGCTGACGACATACGTCACAAAGCAGTTTGTGAGAATGCTTCTGTCTAGGTTTTATGGGACGATATTTCCTTTTTCACCATAAGCGTCCAAGAGCTCCAAGTGCCCACATCCAGATACTTCAGAAAGGGTGTTTCAAACCTGCTCTATGAAAGGGAATGTTCAACTCTGTGACGTGAATGCGGATATCACAAAGCCGTTTCTGAGAATGTTACTGTCTAGGTTTTCTATGAGGATACTCCCGTTTCCAACGAAATCCACAAAGCCATCCAAATATCCACTTGCAGATTCTACAAATATCGTGTTTCCAAACTGCTCTGTCAAACGAAATGTTCAACTCTGTGAGTTGAGGACACACATCACAAACAAGTTTCTGCGAATGCTTCTGTCTAGTTTGCATGGGAAGATATTTCCTTGTTCACCATAGGCCTGAAAGCGCTCGAAATGTCCACTTCCAGATACTGCAGAAAGAGGGTTTGAAACCTGCTCTATGAAAGGGAACGTTCAACTCTGTGACTTGAACGCAAACATCATAAAGAAGCTTCTGAGAATGCTGCTGTCTGCTTTGTACATGTAATCCCGTTTCCAACGTAACCCTCAAAGCTATCCAAATATCCTCCTGCAGATTCCACGAAAAGACGCTTTCAAGCCTGCCCTTAGAAAGGGAATATTCAACTCTCTGATATCAATGCAGATATCACAAAGTAGTTTCTGAGAGTGCTTTCTGCCTAGGTTTTATATGAAGATATTCCCGTTTCCAACGAAATAGTTAGGGCTATCCATGTATCAACTTGCAAATTCTATAAAAAGAGTGTTTCCAAACTGCTGTATCATAAGAAAGGTTGAACTCTGTTAGTTGAGGACACACATCACAAAGACGTTTCTGAGAATGCTTCTGTCTAGTTTTTATGTTAAGATATTTCCTTTTTCAACATAGGCCAGAAATCGATCAAAATGTCCACTTCCAGATACTAGAGAAAGAGTGTTTCAAACCTGCTCTATTGAAGGGAATATTCAACTCTGTGACTTAAAAGCAAACATCACAAAGAATCTCCCGAGAATGCTGCTGTCTACTTTCTTTATGTATTCCCGTCTCCAACGAAATCCTCAGAGCTATGCGAATATCCATCTGCAGATTCCACATAAAGAGCTTTCCGAAACTGATCTATAAAGAGAAAGGTTCAACTCTGTTAGTTGAGTACATATATCCCAAAAATGTTTCTTAGAATGCTTCTGTCTAGTTTTCATGGGAAGACATTTCCTTTTTCACCAAAGGCGTCAAAGTGCTCCAAATGTCCACTTCCAGATACGACAAAAAGAGTGTTTCAAACCTGCTTTAGGAAGGGAAATGTTCAACTCTGTGGCTTGAATGCAGATATCACAAAGCAGTTTCTGAGAGTGCCACTGTCTAGATTTTATATGAAGGTATTCCCGTTTCCAACGAAATTGTTAGAGCTATCCAACTATCCACTTGCAGATTCTATAAAAAGAGTGTTTCCAACGTGCTGTATCAAAAGATAGGTTGTACACTGTTAGTTGAGGACACACATTACAAAGAAGTTTCTGAGAATGCCTCTGTCTAGATTTTACCTGAAGATATTCCGGTTTCCAATGAAATCCTAAAAGCTCTCCAAATATCCACTAGCAGATACTCCAAATGAGTCTTTCAAAACTGCTCTGTGAATAGAAATGTTCAACACTGTTAGCTGACAACATACGTCACAAAGCAGTTTGTGAGAATGCTTCTGTCCAGTTTTTATGGAACGATATGTCCTTTTTCACCATAAGCGTCCAAGCGCTCCAAGTGCCCACATCCAGATACTACAGAAAGTGTGTTTCAAACCTGCTCTATGAAAGGGAATGTTCAACTCTGTGACGTGAATGCAGATATCACAAAGCAGTTTCTGAGCATGTTACTGTCTAGGTTTTCTATGAAGATACTCCCGTTTCCAACGAAATCCACAAAGCCATCCAAATATCCACTTGCAGATTCTACAAAAATCGTGTTTCCAAACTGCTCTGTCAAACGAAATGTTCAACTCTGTGAGTTGAGGACACACATCACAAACAAGTTTCTGCGAATGCTTCTGTCTAGGTTTCATGGGAAGATATTTCCTTGTTCTCCATGGGCCTGAAAGCGCTCGAAATGTCCACTTCCAGATACTACAGAAAGAGTGTTTGAAACCTGCTCTACGAAAGGGAATGTTCAACTGTGTGACTTAAAATCAAACATCACAAAGAAGCTTCTGAGAATGCTGCTGTCTACTTTGTATATGTAATCCCGTTTCCAACGAAATCCTCAAAGCTATCCAAATATCCTCCTGCAGATTCCACAGAAAGACGGTTTCAAACCCGCTCTTAGAAAGGGAATATTCAACTCTGTGATATGAATGCAGATATCACAAATTAGTTTCTGAGAGTGCTTCTGCCTAGGTTTTATATGAAGATATTCCCGTTTCCAACGAAATAGTTAGGGCTATCCATGTATCAACTTGCAAATTCTATAAAAAGAGTGTTTCCAAACTGCTGTATCATAAGAAAGGTTGAACTCTGTTAGTTGAGGACACACATCACAAAGACGTTTCTGAGAATGTTTATCTGTCTAGTTTTTATGTTAAGGTATTTCCTTTTTCAACATAGGCCTGAAATCGATCGAAATGTCCACTTCCAGATACTACAGAAAGAGTGTTTAAAACCTGCTCTATTGAAGGGAATATTCAACTCTGTGACTTAGAAGCAAACATCACAAAGAATCTCCTGAGAATGCTGCTGTCTACTTTCTTTATGTATTCCCGTCTCCAGCGAAATCCTGAGATCTATCCGAATATCCACTTGCAGATTCCACGTAAAGAGCTTTCCAAAACTGATCTATAAAGAGGAAGGTTCAACTCTGTTAGTTGAGTACATATATCCCAAAAATGTTTCTTAGAATGCTTCTGTCTCGTTTTGACGGGAAGACATTTCCTTTTTCACCAAAGGCGTCAAAGTGCTCCAAATGTCCACTTCCAGATACGACAAAACGAGTGATTCAAACCTGCTTTAGGAAGGGAAATGTTCAACTCTGTGGCTTGAATGTAGATATCACAAAGCAGTTTCTGAGAGTGCCACTGTCTAGATTTTATATGAAGGTCTTCCCGTTTCCAACGAAATCATTAGAGCTATCCAGCTATCCACTTGCAGATTCTATAAAAAGAGTGTTTCCAACGTGCTGTATCAAAAGATAGGTTGTACACTGTTAGTTGAGGACACACATTACAAAGAAGTTTCTGAGAATGCCTCTGTCTAGATTTTACCTGAAGATATTCCGGTTTCCAATGAAATCCTTAAAGCTCTCCAAATATCCACTAGCAGACACTCCAAAAGAGTCTTTCAAAACTGCTCTGTGAATAGAAATGTTCAACTCTGTTAGTTGAAGACATACGTCACAAAGCAGTTTGTGAGAATGCTTCTGTCTAGGTTTTATGGGACGATATTTCCTTTTTCACCATAAGCGTCCAAGAGCTCCAAGTGCCCACATCCAGATACTTCAGAAAGGGTGTTTCAAACCTGCTCTATGAAAGGGAATGTTCAACTCTGTGACGTGAATACGGATATCACAAAGCCGTTTCTGAGAATGTTACTGTCTAGGTTGTCTGTGAAGATACTCCCGTTTCCAACGAAATCCACAAAGCCATCCAAATATCCACTTGCAGATTCTACAAACATCGTGTTTCCAAACTGCTCTGTCAAACGAAATGTTCAACTCCGTGAGTTGAGGACACACATCACAATCAAGTTTCTGCGAATGCTTCTGTCTAGTTTGCTTGGGAAGATATTTCCTTGTTCACCATGGGCCTGAAAGCGCTCGAAATGTCCACTTCCAGATACTGCAGAAACAGGGTTTGAAACCTGCTCTATGAAAGGGAACGTTCAACTCTGTGACTTAAACGCAAACATCACAAAGAAGCTTCTGAGAATGCTGCTGTCTACTTTGTATATGTAATCCCGTTTCCAACGTAACCCTCAAAGCTATCCAAGTATCCTCCTGCAGATTCCACGAAAAGACGCTTTCAAGCCTGCCCTTAGAAAGGGAATATTCAACTCTCTGATATCAATGCAGATATCACAAAGTAGTTTCTGAGAGTGCTTCTCTCTAGGTTTTATATGAAGATATTCCCGTTTCCAACGAAATAGTTAGGGCTATCCATGTATCAACTTGCAAACTCTATAAAAAGTGTGTTTCCAAACTGCTTTATCATAAGAAAGGTTGAACTCTGTTAGTTGAGGACACACATCACAAGGACGTTTCTGAGAATGCTTCTGTCTAGTTTTTATGTTAAGATATTTCCTTTTTCAACATAGGCCTGAAATCGATCGAAATGTCCACTTCCAGATACTACAGAAAGAGTGTTTCAAACCTGCTCTATTGAAGGGAATATTCAACTCTGTGACTTCAAAGCAAACATCACAAAGAATCTCCCGAGAATGCTGCTGTCTAGTTTCTTTATGTATTCCCGTCTCCAACGAAATCCTCAGAGCTATCCGAATATCCATCTGCAGATTCCACATAAAGAGCTTTCCAAAACTGATCTATAAAGAGAAAGGTTCAACTCTGTTAGTTGAGTACATATATCCCAAAAATGTTTCTTAGAATGTTTCTGTCTAGTTTTGATGGGAAGACATTTCCTTTTTCACCAAAGGCGTCAAAGTGCTCCAAATGTCCACTTCCAGATACGACAAAAAGAGTGTTTCAAACCTGCTTTAGGAAGGGAAATGTCCAACTCTGTGGCTTGAATGCAGATATCACAAAGCAGTTTCTGAGAGTGCCACTGTCTAGATTTTATATGAAGGTATTCCCGTTTCCAACGAAATCGTTAGAGCTATCCAACTATCCAATTGCAGATTCTATAAAAAGAGTGTTTCCAACGTGCTGTATCAAAAGATAGGTTGTACACTGTTAGTTGAGGACACACATTACAAAGAAGTTTCTGAGAATGCCTCTGTCTAGATTTTACCTGAAGATATTCCGGTTTCCAATGAAATCCTTAATGCTCTCCAAATATCCACTAGCAGACACTCCAAAAGAGTCTTTCAAAACGGCTCTGTGAATAGAAATGTTCAACTCTGTTAGTTGAAGACATAAGTCACAAAGCAGTTTGTGAGAATGCTTCTGTCTAGTTTTTATGGGACGATATTTCCTTTTTCACCATAAGCGTCCAAGCGCTCCAAGTGCCCACATCCAGATACTACAGAAAGTGTGTTTCAAGCCTGCTCTATGAGAGGGAAAGTTCAACTCTGTGACGTGAATGCGGATATCACAAAGCCGTTTCTGAGAATGTTACTGTCTAGGTTGTCTATGAAGATACTCCCGTTTCCAACGAAATCCACAAAGCCATCCAAATATCCACTTGCAGATTCTGCAAAAATCGTGTTTCCAAACTGCTCTGTCAAACGAAATGTTCAACTCTGTGAGTTGAGGACACACATCACAAACAAGTTTCTGCGAATGCTTCTGTCTAGTTTGCATGGGAAGATATTTCCTTGTTCACCATGGGCCTGAAAGCGCTCGAAATGTCCACTTCCAGATACTGCAGAAAGAGGGTTTGAAACCTGCTCTACGAAAGGGAACGTTCAACTCTGTGACTTAAACGCAAACATCACAAAGAAGCTTCTGAGAATGCTGCTGTCTACTTTGTATATGCAATCCCGTTTCCAACGTAACCCTCAAAGCTATCCAAATATCCTCCTGCAGATTCCACGAAAAGACGCTTTCAAGCCTGCCCTTAGAAAGGGAATATTCAACTCTCTGATATCAATGCAGATATCACAAAGTAGTTTCTGAGAGTGCTTCTGTCTAGGTTTTATATGAAGATATTCCCGTTTCCAACGAAATAGTTAGGGCTATCCATGTATCAACTTGCAAATTCTATAAAAAGAGTGTTTCCAAACTGCCGTATCATAAGAAAGGTTGAACTCTGTTAGTTGAGGACACACATCACAACGACGTTTCTGAGAATGCTTCTGTCTAGTTTTTATGTTAAGATATTTCCTTTTTCAACATAGGCCTGAAATCGATCGAAATGTCCACTTCCAGATACTACAGAAAGAGTGTTTCATACTTGCTCTATTGAAGGGAATATTCAACTCTGTGACTTAGAAGCAAACATCAGAAAGAATCTCCTGAGAATGCTGCTGTCTACTTTCTTTATGTATTCCCGTCTCCAACGAAACCCTCAGAGCTATCCGAATATCCATCTGCAGATTCCACATAAAGAGCTTTCCAAAACTGATCTATAGAGAGAAAGGTTCAACTCCGTTAGTTGAGTACATATATCCCAAAAATGTTTCTTAGAACGCTTCTGTCTAGTTTTGATGGGAAGACATTTCCTTTTTCACCAAAGGCGTCAAAGTGCTCCAAATGTCCACTTCCAGATACGACAGAAAGAGTGTTTCAAACCTGCTTTAGGAAGGAAAATGTTCAACTCTGTGGCTTGAATGCAGATATCACAAAGCAGTTTCTGAGAGTGCCACTGTCTAGATTTTATATGAAGGTATTCCCGTTTCCAACGAAATCGTTAGAGCTATCCAAATATCCACTTGCAGATTCTATAAAAAGAGTGTTTCCAACGTGCTGTATCAAAAGATAGGTTGTACACTGTTAGTTGAGGACACACATGACAAAGAAGTTTCTGAGAATGCCTCTGTCTAGATTTTACCTGAAGATATTCCGGTTTCCAATGAAATCCTTAAAGCTCTCCAAATATCCACTAGCAGATACTCCAAAAGAGTCTTTCAAAACTGCTCTGTGAATAGAAATGTTCAACTCTGTTAGTTGAAGACATACGTCACAAAGCAGTTTGTGAGAATGCTTCTGTCTAGTTTTTATGGGAAGACATTTCCTTTTTCACCGTAAGCGTCCAAGCGCTCCAAGTGTCCACATCCAGATACTACAGAAAGAGTGTTTCAAACCTGCTCTTGAAAGGGAATGTTCAACTCTGTGACGTGAATGCAGATATCACAAAGCAGTTTCTTAGAATGTTTCTGTCTAGGTTTTCTATGAAGGTACTCCCGTTTCCAACGAAATCCACAAAGCTTTCCAAATATCCACTTGCAGATTCTGCAAAAAGCGTGTTTCCAAACTGCTCTGTCCAACGAAATGTTCAACTCTGTGAGTTGAGAACACATATCGCAAACATGTTTCTGCGAAAGCTTCTGTCTAGTATGCATGGGAAGATATTTCCTTGTTCACCATAGGCCTGAAAGCGCTCGAAATGTCCACTTCAAGATACTGCAGAAAGAGGGTTTGAAACCTGCTCTATGAAAGGGAACGTTCAACTCTGTGACTTGAACGCAAATATCATAAAGAAGCTTCTGAGAATGCTGCTGTCTACTTTGTATATGTAATCCCGTTTCCAACGTAACCCTCCAAGCTATCCAAATATCCTCCTGCAGATTCCACAAAAAGACGCTTTCAAGCCTGCCCTTAGAAAGGGAATATTCAACTCTCTGATATCAATGCAGATATCACAAAGTAGTTTCTGAGAGTGCTTCTGCCTAGGTTTTATATGAAGATATTCCCGTTTCCAACGAAATAGTTAGGGCTATCCATGTATCAACTTGCAAATTCTATAAAAAGAGTGTTTCCAAACTGCTGTATCATAAGAAAGGTTGAACTCTGTTAGTTGAGGACACACATCACAAAGACGTTTCTGAGAATGCTTCTGTCTAGTTTTTATGTTAAGATATTTCCTTTTTCAACATAGGCCTGAAATCGATGGAAATGTCCACTTCCAGATACTACAGAAAGAGTGTTTCAAACCTGCTCTATTGAAGGGAATATTCAACTCTGTGACTTCAAAGCAAACATCACAAAGAATCTCCCGAGAATGCTGCTGTCTACTTTCTTTATGTATTCCCGTCTCCAACGAAATCCTCAGAGCTATCCGAATATCCATCTGCAGATTCCACATAAAGAGCTTTCCAAAACTGATATATAAAGAGAAAGGTTGAACTCTGTTAGTTGAGTACATATATCCCAAAAATGTTTCTTAGAATGCTTCTGTCTAGTTTTGATGGGAAGACATTTCCTTTTTCACCAAAGGGGTCAAAGTGCTCCAAATGTCCACTTCCAGATACGACAGAAAGAGTGTTTCAAACCTGCTTTAGGAAGGGAAATGTTCAACTCTGTGGCTTGAATGCAGATATCACAAAGCAGTTTCTGAGAGTGCCACTGTCTAGATTTTATATGAAGGTATTCCCGTTTCCAATGAAATCGTTAGAGCTATCCAACTATCCACTTGCAGATTCTATAAAAAGAGTGTTTCCAACGTGCTGTATCAAAAGATAGGTTGTACACTGTTAGTTGAGGACACACATTACGAAGAAGTTTCTGAGAATGCCTCTGTCTAGATTTTACCTGAAGATATTCCGGTTTCCAATGAAATCCTTAAAGCTCTCCAAATATCCACTAGCAGATACTCCAAAAGAGTCTTTCAAAACTGCTCTGTGAATAGAAATGTTCAACTCTGTTAGTTGAAGACATACGTCACAAAGCAGTTTGTGAGAATGCTTCTGTCCAGTTTTTATGGGACGATATGTCCTTTTTCACCATAAGCGTCCAAGCGCTCCAAGTGCCCACATCCAGATACTACAGAAAGTGTGTTTCAAACCTGCTCTATGAAACGGAATGTTCAACTCTGTGACGTGAATGCAGATATCACAAAGCAGTTTCTGAGCATGTTACACTGTCTAGGTTGTCTATGAAGATACTCCCGTTTCCAACGAAATCCACAAAGCCATCCAAATATCCACTTGCAGATTCTACAAAAATCGTGTTTCCAAACTGCTCTGTCAAACGAAATGTTCAACTCTGTGAGTTGAGGACACACATCACAAACAAGTTTCTGCGAATGCTTCTGTCTAGTTTGCATGGGAAGATATTTCCTTGTTCACCATAGGCCTGAAAGCGCTCGAAATGTCCAATTCCACATACTGCAGAAAGAGGGTTTGAAACCTGCTCTGTGAAAGGGAACGTTCAACTCTGTGAGTTAAACGCAAACATTATAAAGAAGCTTCTGAGAATGCTGCTGTCTACTTTGTATACGTAATCCCGTTTCCAACGTAACCCTCCATGCTATCCAAATATCCTCCTGCAGATTCCACGAAAAGACGCTTTCAAGCCTGCCCTTAGAAAGGGAATATTCAACTCTCTGATATCAATGCAGATACCACAAAGTAGTTTCTGAGAGTGCTTCTGTCTAGGTTTTATATGAAGATATTCCCGTTTCCAACGAAAAAGTTAGGGCTATCCATGTATCAACTTGTAAACTCTATAAAAAGAGTGTTTCCAAACTGCTGTATCATAAGAAAGGTTGAACTCTGTTAGTTGAGGACACACATCACAAAGACGTTTCTGAGAATGCTTCTGTCTAGTTTTTATGTTAAGATATTTCCTTTTTCAACATAGGCCTGAAATCGATCGAAATGTCCACTTCCAGATACTACAGAAAGAGTGTTTCAAACCTGCTCTATTGAAGGGAATATTCAACTCTGTGACTTCAAAGCAAACATCACAAAGAATCTCCCGAGAATGCTGCTGTCTACTTTTTATATGTAATCCCGTCTCCAACGAAATCCTCAGAGCTATCCTAATAACCATTTGCAGATTCCACACAAAGAGCTTTTCAAAACTGATCTATAAAGAGAAAGGTTCAACTCTGTTAGTTGAGTACATATATCCCAAAGAAGTTTCTTAGAATGCTTCTGTCTAGTTTTCATGGGAAGACATTTCCTTTTTCACCAAAGGCGTCAAAGTGCTCCAAATGTCCACTTCCAGATACGACAAAAAGAGTGTTTCAAAACCTGCTTTAGGAAGGGAAATGTTCAACTCTGTGGCTTGAATGCAGATATCACAAAGCAGTTTCTGAGAGTGCCTCTGTCTAGTTTTTCCATGAAGATACTCCCCTTTCCAACGAAATCCACAAAGCTATCCAAATATCCACTTGCAGATTCTACAAAAAGCGAGTTTCCAAACTGCTCTGTCAAACGAAATGTTCAACTCTGTGAGTTGAGGACACACATCACAAACAAGTTTCTGCGAATGCTTCTGTCTAGTTTGCATGGGAAGATATTTCCTTGTTCACCATAGGCCTGAAAGCGCTCGAAATGTCCACTTCCAGATACTGCAGAAAGAGGGTTTGAAACCTGCTCTATGAAAGGGAACGTTCAACTCTGTGACTTGAGCGCAAACATCATAAAGAAGCTTCTGAGAATGCTGCTGTCTACTTTGTATATGTAATCCCGTTTCCAACGTAACCCTCCAAGCTATCCAAATATCCTCCTGCAGATTCCACGAAAAGACGCTTTCAAGCCTGCCCTTAGAAAGGGAATATTCAACTCTCTGATATCAATGCAGATATCACAAAGTAGTTTCTGAGAGTGCTTCTGTCTAGGTTTTATATGAAGATATTCCCGTTTCCAACGAAATAGTTAGGGCTATCCATATATCAACATGCAAATTCTATAAAAAGAGTGTTTCCAAACTGCTGTATCATAAGAAAGGTTGAACTCTGTTAGTTGAGGACACACATCACAAAGACGTTTCTGAGAATGCTTCTGTCTAGTTTTTATGTTAAGATATTTCCTTTTTCAACATAGGCCTGAAATCGATCGAAATGTCCACTTCCAGATACTACAGAAAGAGTGTTTCAAACTTGCTCTATTGAAGGGAATATTCAACTCTGTGACTTAGAAGCAAACATCAGAAAGAATCTCCTGAGAATGCTGCTGTCTACTTTCTTAATGTATTCCCGTCTCCAACGAAATCCTCAGAGCTACCCGAATATCCATCTGCAGATTCCACATAAAGAGCTTTCCAAAACTGATCTATAAAGAGAAAGGTTCAACTCTGTTAGTTGAGTATATATATCCCAAAAATGTTTCTTAGAATGCTTCTGTCTAGTTTTGATGGGAAGACATTTCCTTTTTCACCAAAGGCGTCAAAGTGCTCCAAATGTCCACTTCCAGATACGACAGAAAGAGTGTTTCAAACCTGCTATAGGAAGGGAAATGTTCAACTCTGTGGCTTGAATGCAGATATCACAAAGCAGTTTCTGAGAGTGCCACTGTCTAGATTTTATATGAAGGTATTCCCGTTTCCAACGAAATCGTTGGAAACTATCCACTTGCAGATTCTATCCACTTGCAGATTCTATAAAAAGAGTGTTTCCAACGTGCTGTATCAAAAGATAGGTTGTACACTGTTAGTTGAGGACACACATTACGAAGAAGTTTCTGAGAATGCCTCTGTCTAGATTTTACCTGTAGATATTCCGGTTTCCAATGAAATCCTTAAAGCTCTCCAAATATCCACTAGCAGATACTCCAAAAGAGTCTTTCAAAACTGCTCTGTGAATAGAAATGTTCAACTCTGTTAGTTGAAGACATACGTCACAAAGCAGTTTGTGAGAATGCTTCTGTCCAGTTTTTATGGGACGATATGTCCTTTTTCACCATAAGCGTCCAAGCGCTCCAAGTGCCCACATCCAGATACTACAGAAAGTGTGTTTCAAACCTGCTCTATGAAAGGGAATGTTCAACTCTGTGACGTGAATGCAGATATCACAAAGCAGTTTCTGAGCATGTTACTGTCTAGGTTGTCTAAGAAGATACTCCCGTTTCCAACGAAATCCACAAAGCCATCCAAATATCCACTTGCAGATTCTACAAAAATCGTGTTTCCAAACTGCTCTGTCAAACGAAATGCTCAACTCCGTGAGTTGAGGACACATATCACAAACAAGTTTCTGCGAATGCTTCTGTCTAGTATGCATGGGAAGATATTTTCCTTGTTCACCATAGGCCTGAAAGCGCTCGAAATGTCCACTTCCAGATACTGCAGAAAGAGGGTTTGAAACCTGCTCTATGAAAGGGAACGTTCAACTCTGTGACTTGAACGCAAACATCATAAAGAAGCTTCTGAGAATGCTGCTGTCTGCTTTGTACATGTAATCCCGTTTCCAACATAACCCTCAAAGCTATCCAAATATCCTCCTGCAGATTCCACGAAAAGACGCTTTCAAGCCTGCCCTTAGAAAGGGAATATTCAACTCTCTGATATCAATGCAGATATCACAAAGTAGTTTCTGAGAGTGCTTCTGTCTAGGTTTTATATGAAGATATTCCCGTTTCCAACGAAATAGTTAGGGCTATCCATGTATCAACTTGCAAATTCTATAAAAAGAGTGTTTCCAAACTGCCGTATCATAAGAAAGGTTGAACTCTGTTAGTAGAGGACACACATCACAACGACGTTTCTGAGAATGCTTCTGTCTAGTTTTTATGTTAAGATATTTCCTTTTTCAACATAGGCCTGAAATCGATCGAAATGTCCACTTCCAGATACTACAGAAAGAGTGTTTCAAACTTGCTCTATTGAAGGGAATATTCAACTCTGTGACTTAGAAGCAAACATCAGAAAGAATCTCCTGAGAATGCTGCTGTCTACTTTCTTTATGTATTCCCGTCTCCAACGAAATCCTCAGAGCTATCCGAATATCCATCTGCAGATTCCACATAAAGAGCTTTCCAAAACTGATCTATAAAGAGAAAGGTTCAACTCTGTTAGTTCAGTACATATATCCCAAAAATGTTTCTTAGAATGCTCCTGTCTAGTTTTGATGGGAAGACATTTCCTTTTTCACCAAAGGCGTCAAAGTGCTCCAAATGTCCACTTCCAGATACGACAAAAAGAGTGTTTCAAACCTGCTTTAGGAAGGGAAATGTTCAACTCTGTGGCTTGAATGCAGATATCACAAAGCAGTTTCTGAGAGTGCCACTGTCTAGATTTTATATGAAGGTATTCCCGTTTCCAATGAAATCGTTAGAGCTACCCAACTATCCACTTGCAGATTCTATAAAAAGAGTGTTTCCAACGTGCTGTATCAAAAGATAGGTTGTACACTGTTAGTTGAGGACACACATTACGAAGAAGTTTCTGAGAATGCCTCTGTCTAGACTTTACCTGAAGATATTCCGGTTTCCAATGAAATCCTTAAAGCTCTCCAAATATCCACTAGCAGACACTCCAAAAGAGTCTTTCAAAACGGCTCTGTGAATAGAAATGTTCAACTCTGTTAGTTGAAGACATACGTCACAAAGCAGTTTGTGAGAATGCTTCTGTCCAGTTTTTATGGGACGATCTGTCCTTTTTCACCATAAGCGTCCAAGCGCTCCAAGTGCCCACATCCAGATACTACAGAAAGTGTGTTTCAAACCTGCTCTATGAAAGGGAATGTTCAACTCTGTGACGTGAATGCAGATATCACAAAACAGTTTCTGAGCATGTTACTGTCTAGGTTTTCTATGAAGATACTCCCGTTTCCAACGAAATCCACAAAGCCATCCAAATATCCACTTGCAGATTCTACAAAAATCGTGTTTCCAAACTGCTCTGTCAAACGAAATGTTCAACTCTGTGAGTTGAGGACACACATCACAAACAAGTTTCTGCGAATGCTTCTGTCTAGTTTGCTTGGGAAGATATTTCCTTGTTCACCATAGGCCTGAAAGCGCTCGAAATGTCCACTTCCAGATACTGCAGAAAGAGGGTTTGAAACCTGCTCTATGAAAGGGAACGTTCAACTCTGTGACTTAAACGCAAACATCACAAAGAAGCTTCTGAGAATGCTGCTGTCTACTTTGTTTATGCAATCCCGTTTCCAACGTAACCCTCAAAGCTATCCAAATATCCTCCTGCAGATTCCACGAAAAGACGCTTTCAAGCCTGCCCTTAGAAAGGGAATATTCAACTCTCTGATATCAATGCAGATATCACAAAGTAGTTTCTGAGAGTGCTTCTGTCTAGGTTTTATATGAAGATATTCCCGTTTCCAACGAAATAGTTAGGGCTATCCATGTATCAACTTGCAAATTCTATAAAAAGAGTGTTTCCAAACTGCCGTATCATAAGAAAGGTTGAACTCTGTTAGTTGAGGACACACATCACAACGACGTTTCTGAGAATGCTTCTGTCTAGTTTTTATGTTAAGATATTTCCTTTTTCAACATAGGCCTGTAATCGATCGAAATGTCCACTTCCAGATACTACAGAAAGAGTGTTTCAAACCTGCTCTATTGAAGGGAATATTCAACTCTGTGACTTAAAAGCAAACATCACAAAGAATCTCCTGAGAATGCTGCTGTCTACTATTTAAATGTAATCCCGTCTCCAACGACATCCTCAGAGCTATCCTAATATCCATTTGCAGATTCCACAAAAAGAGGTTTTCAAAGCTGATCTATAAAGAGAAAGGTTCAACTCTGTTAGTTGAGTACATATATCCCAAAAATGTTTCTTAGAATGCTTCTGTCTAGTTTTCATGGGAAGACATTTCCTTTTTCACCAAAGGCGTCAAAGTGCTCCAAATGTCCACTTCCAGATACGACAAAAAGAGTGTTTCAAACCTGCTTTAGGAAGGGAAATGTTCAACTCTGTGGCTTGAATGCAGATATCACAAAGCAGTTTCTGAGAGTGCCACTGTCTAGATTTTATATGAAGGTATTCCCGTTTCCAACGAAATCGTTAGAGCTATCCAACTATCCACTTGCAGATTCTATAAAAAGAGTGTTTCCAACGTGCTGTATCAAAAGATAGGTTGTACACTGTTAGTTGAGGACACACATTACGAAGAAGTTTCTGAGAATACCTCTGTCTAGATTTTACCTGAAGATATTCCGGTTTCCAATGAAATCCTTAAAGCTCTCCAAATATCCACTAGCAGATACTCCAAAAGAGTCTTTCAAAACTGCTCTGTGAATAGAAATGTTCAACTCTGTTTGTTGAAGACATACGTCACAAAGCAGTTTGTGAGAATGCTTCTGTCCAGTTTTTATGGGACGATATGTCCTTTTTCACCATAAGCGTCCAAGCGCTCCAAGTGCCCACATCCAGATACTACAGAAAGTGTGTTTCAAACCTGCTCTATGAAAGGGAATGTTCAACTCTGTGACGTGAATGCAGATATCACAAAGCAGTTTCTGAGCATGTTACTGTCTAGGTTGTCTGTGAAGATACTCCCGTTTCCAACGAAATCCACAAAGCCATCCAAATATCCACTTGCAGATTCTACAAAAATCGTGTTTCCAAACTGCTCTGTCAAACGAAATGTTCAACTCCCTGAGTTGAGGACACACATCACAAACAAGTTTCTGCGAATGCTTCTGTCTAGTTTGCATGGGAAGATATTTCCTTGTTCACCATGGGCCTGAAAGCGCTCGAAATGTCCACTTCCAGATACTGCAGAAAGAGGGTTTGAAACCTGCTCTATGAAAGGGAACGTTCAACTCTGTGACTTAAACGCAAACATCACAAAGAAGCTTCTGAGAATGCTGCTGTCTACTTTGTATATGTAATCCCGTTTCCAACGTAACCCTCCAAGCTATCCAAATATCCTCCTGCAGATTCCACAAAAAGACGCTTTCAAGCCTGTCCTTAGAAAGGGAATATTCAACTCTCTGATATCAATGCAGATATCACAATGTAGTTTCTGAGAGTGCTTCTGTCTAGGTTTTATGTGAAGATATTCCCGTTTCCAATGAAATAGTTAGGGCTATCCATGTATCAGCTTGCAAATTCTATAAAAAGAGTGTTTCCCAACTGCTGTATCATAAGAAAGGTTGAACTCTGTTAGTTGAGGACACACATCACAAAGACGTTTCTGAGAATGCTTCTGTCTAGTTTTTATGTTGAGATATTTCCTTTTTCAACATAGGCCTGAAATCGATCGAAATGGCCACTTCCAGATACTACAGAAAGAGTGTTTCAAACCTGATCTATTGAAGGGAATATTCAACTCTGTGACTTCAAAGCAAACATCACAAAGAATCTCCCGAGAATGCTGCTGTCTACTTTCTTTATGTATTCCCGTCTCCAACGAAATCCTCAGAGCTATCCGAATATCCATCTGCAGATTCCACATAAAGAGCTTTCCAAAACTGATCTATAAAGAGAAAGGTTCAACTCTGTTAGTTGAGTACATATATCCCAAAAATGTTTCTTAGAATGCTTCTGTCTAGTTTTCATGGGAAGACATTTCCTTTTTCACCAAAGGCGTCAAAGTGCTCCAAATGTCCACTTCCAGATACGACAAAAAGAGTGTTTCAAACCTGCTTTAGGAAGGGAAATGTTCAACTCTGTGGCTTGAATGCAGATATCACAAAGCAGTTTCTGAGAGTGCCACTGTCTAGATTTTATAGGAAGGTATTCCCGTTTCCAACGAAATCGTTGGAGCTATCCAACTATCCACTTGCAGATTCTATAAAAAGAGTGTTTCCAACGTGCTGTATCAAAAGATAGGTTGTACACTGTTAGTTGAGGACACACATTACAGAGAAGTTTCTGAGAATGCCTCTGTCCCGATTTCACCTGAAGATATTCCGGTTTCCAATGAAATCCCTTAAGCTCTCCAAATATCCACTTGCAGATTCTCCAAAAAGAGTCTTTCAAAACTGCTCTGTAAATTGAAATGTTCAACTCTGTTATTTGAGGACATACATCACAAACCAGTTTGTGAGAATGCTTCTGTCCAGTTTTTATGGGACGATATGGCCTTTTTCACCATAAGCGTCCAAGCGCTCCAAGTGCCCACATCCAGATACTACAGAAAGTGTGTTTCAAACCTGCTCTATGAAAGGGAATGTTCAACTCTGTGACGTGAATGCAGATATCACAAAGCAGTTTCTGAGCATGTTACTGTCTAGGTTGTCTATGAAGATACTCCCGTTTCCAACGAAATCCACAAAGCCATCCAAATATCCACTTGCAGATTCTACAAAAATCGTGTTTCCAAACTGCTCTGTCAAACGAAATGTTCAACTCCGTGAGTTGAGGACACACATCACAAACAAGTTTCTGCGAATGCTTCTGTCTAGTTTGCATGGGAAGATATTTCCTTGTTCACCGTAGGCCTGAAAGCGCTCGAAATGTCCACTTCCGGATACTGCAGAAAGAGGGTTTGAAACCTGCTCTATGAAAGGGAACGTTCAACTCTGTGACTTGAACGCAAACATCATAAAGAAGCTTCTGAGAATGCTGCTGTCTGCTTTGTACATGTAATCCCGTTTCCAACGTAACCCTCAAAGCTATCCAAATATCCTCCTGCAGATTCCACGAAAAGACGCTTTCAAGCCTGCCCTTAGAAAGGGAATATTCAACTCTCTGATATCAATGCAGATATCACAAAGTAGTTTCTGAGAGTGCTTCTGTCTAGGTTTTATATGAAGATATTCCCGTTTCCAACGAAATAGTTAGGGCTATCCATGTATCAACTTGCAAATTCTATAAAAACAGTGTTTCCAAACTGCTGTATCATAAGAAAGGTTGAACTCTGTTAGTTGAGGACACACATCACAAAGACGTTTCTGAGAATGCTTCTGTCTAGTTTTTATGTTACGATATATCCTTTTTCAACATAGGCCTGAAATCGATCGAAATGTCCACTTCCAGATACTACAGAAAGAGTGTTTCAAACCTGCTCTATTGAAGGGAATATTCAACTCTGTGACTTAAAAGCAAACATCACAAAGAATCTCCCGAGAATGCTGCTGTCTACTTTCTTTATGTATTCCCGTCTCCAACGAAACCCTCAGAGCTATCCGAATATCCATCTGCAGATTCCACATAAAGAGCTTTCCAAAACTGATCTATAGAGAGAAAGGTTCAACTCCGTTAGTTGAGTACATATATCCCAAAAATGTTTCTTAGAATGCTTCTGTCTAGTTTTGATGGGAAGACATTTCCTTTTTCACCAAAGGCGTCAAAGTGCTCCAAATGTCCACTTCCAGATACGACAGAAAGAGTGTTTCAAACCTGCTTTAGGAAGGGAAATGTTCAACTCTGTGGCTTGAATGCAGATATCACAAAGCAGTTTCTGCGAGTGCCACTGTCTAGATTTTATATGAAGGTATTCCCGTTTCCAACGAAATCGTTAGAGCTATCCAACTATCCACTTGCAGATTCTATAAAAAGAGTGTTTCCAACGTGCTGTATCAAAAGATAGGTTGTACACTGTTAGTTGAGGACACACATTACGAAGAAGTTTCTGAGAATGCCTCTGTCTAGATTTTACCTGAAGATATTCCGGTTTCCGGTGAAATCCTTAAAGCTCTCCCAAATATCCACTAGCAGATACTCCAAAAGAGTCTTTCAAAACTGCTCTGTGAATAGAAATGTTCAACTCTGTTAGCTGACGACATACGTCTCAAAGCAGTTTGTGAGAATGCTTCTGTCTAGTTTTTATTTGACGATATTTCCTTTTTCACCATAAGCGTCGAAGCGCTCCAAGTGCCCACATCCAAATACTACAGAAAGTGTGTTTCAAACCTGCTCTATGAAAGGGAATGTTCAACTCTGTGACGTGAATACGGATATCACAAAGCCGTTTCTGAGAATGTTACTGTCTAGGTTGTCTGTGAAGATACTCCCGTTTCCAACGAAATCCACAAAGCCATCCAAATATCCACTTGCAGATTCTACAAAAATCGTGTTTCCAAACTGCTCTGTCAAACGAAATGTTCAACTCCGTGAGTTGAGGACACACATCACAATCAAGTTTCTGCGAATGCTTCTGTCTAGTTTGCATGGGAAGATATTTCCTTGTTCACCATGGGCCTGAAAGCGCTCGAAATGTCCACTTCTAGATACTGCAGAAAGAGGGTTTGAAACCTGCTCTACGAAAGGGAACGTTCAACTCTGTGACTTAAACGCAAACATCACAAAGAAGCTTCTGAGAATGCTGCTGTCTACTTTGTATATGTAATCCCGTTTCCAACGTAACCCTCCAAGCTATCCAAATATCCTCCTGCAGATTCCACAAAAAGACGCTTTCAAGCCTGACCTTAGAAAGGGAATATTCAACTCTCTGATATCAATGCAGATATCACAAAGTAGTTTCTGAGAGTGCTTCTGCCTAGGTTTTATATGAAGATATTCCCGTTTCCAACGAAATAGTTAGGGCTATCCATGTATCAACTTGCAAATTCTATAAAAAGAGTGTTTCCAAACTGCTGTATCATAAGAAAGGTTGAACTCTGTTAGTTGAGGACACACATCACAAAGACGTTTCTGAGAATGTTTCTGTCTAGTTTTTATGTTAAGGTATTTCCTTTTTCAACATAGGCCTGAAATCGATCGAAATGTCCACTTCCAGATACTACAGAAAGAGTGTTTCAAACCTGCTCTATTGAAGGGAATATTCAACTCTGTGACTTAAAAGCAAACATCACAAAGAATCTCCTGAGAATGCTGCTGTCTACTTTCTTTATGTATTCCCGTCTCCAACGAAATCCTCAGAGCTATCCGAATATCCATCTGCAGATTCCACATAAAGAGCTTTCCAAAACTGATCTATAAAGAGAAAGGTTGAACTCTGTTAGTTGAGTACATATATCCCAAAAATGTTTCTTAGAATGCTTCTGTCTAGTTTTCATGGGAAGACATTTCCTTTTTCACCAAAGGCGTCAAAGTGCTCCAAATGTCCACTTCCAGATACGACAAAAAGAGTGTTTGAAACCTGCTTTAGGAAGGGAAATGTTCAACTCTGTGGCTTGAATGCAGATATCACAAAGCAGTTTCTGAGAGTGCCACTGTCTAGATTTTATATGAAGGTATTCCCGTTTCCAACGAAATCGTTAGACCTATCCAACTATCCACTTGCAGATTCTATAAAAAGAGTGTTTCCAACGTGCTGTATCAAAAGATAGGTTGTACACTGTTAGTTGAGGACACACATTACAAAGAAATTTCTGAGAATGCCTCTGTCTAGATTTTACCTGAAGATATTCCGGTTTCCAATGAAATCCTTAAAGCTCTCCAAATATCCACTAGCAGATACTCCAAAAGAGTCTTTCAAAACTGCTCTGTGAATAGAAATGTTCAACTCTGTTAGTTGAAGACATACGTCACAAAGCAGTTTGTGAGAATGCTTCTGTCCAGTTTTTATGGGACGATATGTCCTTTTTCACCATAAGCGTCCAAGCGCTCCAAGTGCCCACATCCAGATACTACAGAAAGTGTGTTTCAAACCTGCTCTATGAAAGGGAATGTTCAACTCTGTGACGTGAATGCAGATATCACAAAGCAGTTTCTGAGCATGTTACTGTCTAGGTTTTCTATGAAGATACTCCCGTTTCCAACGAAATCCACAAAGCCATCCAAATATCCACTTGCAGATTCTACAAAAATCGTGTTTCCAAACTGCTCTGTCAAACGAAATGTTCAACTCTGTGAGTTGAGGACACACATCACAAACAAGTTTCTGCGAATGCTTCTGTCTAGTTTGCATGGGAAGATATTTCCTTGTTCACCATAGGCCTGACAGCGCTCGAAATGTCCACTTCCAGATACTGCAGAAAGAGGGTTTGAAACCTGCTCTATGAAAGGGAACGTTCAACTCTGTGACTTGAAAGCAAACATCATAAAGCAGCTTCTGAGAATGCTGCTGTCTGCTTTGTACATGTAATCCCGTTTCCAACGTAACCCTCAAAGCTATCCAAATATCCTCCTGCAGATTCCACGAAAAGACGCTTTCAAGCCTGCCCTTAGAAGGGGAATATTCAACTCTCTGATATCAATGCAGATATCACAAAGTAGTTTCTGAGAGTGCTTCTGTCTAGGTTTTATGTGAAGATATTCCCGTTTCCAACGAAATAGTTAGGGTTATCCATGTATCAACTTGCAAATTCTATAAAAAGAGTGTTTCCCAACTGCTGTATCATAAGAAAGGTTGAACTCTGTTAGTTGAGGACACACATCACAAAGACGTTTCTGAGAATGCTTCTGTCTAGTTTTTATGTAGAGATATTTCCTTTTTCAACATAGGCCTGAAATCGATCGAAATGTCCACTTCCAGATACTACAGAAAGAGTGTTTCAAACCTGCTCTATTGAAGGGAATATTCAACTCTGTGACTTAAAAGCAAACATCACAAAGAATCTCCTGAGAATGCTGCTGTCTACTTTCTTTATGTATTCCCGTCTCCAACGAAATCCTCAGAGCTATCCGAATATCCATCTGCAGATTCCACATAAAGAGCTTTCCAAAACTGATATATAAAGAGAAAGGTTGAACTCTGTTAGTTGAGTACATATATCCCAAAAAAGTTTCTTAGAATGCTTCTGTCTAGTTTTGATGGGAAGACATTTCCTTTTTCACCAAAGGCGTCAAAGTGCTCCAAATGTCCACTTCCAGATACGACAAAAAGAGTGTTTCAAACCTGCTTTAGGAAGGGAAATGTCCAACTCTGTGGCTTGAATGCAGATATCACAAAGCAGTTTCTGAGAGTGCCACTGTCTAGATTTTATATGAAGATATTCCCGTTTCCAACGAAATCGTTAGAGCTATCCAACTATCCGCTTGCAGATTCTATAAAAAGAGTGTTTCCAACGTGCTGTATCAAAAGATAGGTTGTACACTGTTAGTTGAGGGCACACATTACGAAGAAGTTTCTGAGAATGCCTCTGTCTAGATTTTACCTGAAGATATTCGGTTTCCAATGAAATCCTTAAAGCTCTCCAAATATCCACTAGCAGATACTCCAAAAGAGTCTTTCAAAACTGCTCTGTGAATAGAAATGTTCAACTCTGTTAGTTGAAGACATACGTCACAAAGCAGTTTGTGAGAATGCTTCTGTCTAGGTTTTATGGGACGATATTTCCTTTTTCACCATAAGCGTCCAAGAGCTCCAAGTGCCCACATCCAGATACTACAGAAAGGGTGTTTCAAACCTGCTCTATGAAAGGGAATGTTCAACTCTGTGACGTGAATGCGGATATCACAAAGCCGTTTCTGAGAATGTTACTGTCTAGGTTGTCTATGAAGATACTCCCGTTTCCAACGAAATCCACAAAGCCATCCAAATATCCACTTGCAGATTCTACAAACATCGTGTTTCCAAACTGCTCTGTCAAACGAAATGTTCAACTCCGTGAGTTGAGGACACACATCACAAACAAGTTTCTGCGAATGCTTCTGTCTAGTTTGCATGGGAAGATATTTCCTTGTTCACCATGGGCCTGAAAGCGCTCGAAATGTCCACTTCCAGATACTGCAGAAAGAGGTTTTGAAACCTGCTCTATGAAAGGGAACGTTCAACTCTGTGACTTAAACGCAAACATCATAAAGAAGCTTCTGAGAATGCTGCTGTCTACTTTGTATATGTAATCCCGTTTCCAACGTAACACTCAAAGCTATCCAAATATCCTCCCGCAGATTCCACGAAAAGACGCTTTCAAGCCTTCCCTTAGAAAGGGAATATTCAACTCTCTGACATCAATGCAGATATCACAAAGCAGTTTCTGAGAGTTCCTCTGTCTAGGTTTTATATGAAGATATTCCCGTTTCCAACGAAATAGTTAAGGCTATCCATGTATCAACTTGCAAACGCTATAAAAAGAGTGTTTCCAAACTGCTGTATCATAAGAAAGGTTGAACTCTGTTAGTTGAGGACACACATCACAAAGACATTTCTGAGAATGCTTCTGTCTAGTTTTGATGTTAAGGTATTTCCTTTTTCAACATAGGCCTGAAATCGATCGAAATGTCCACTTCCAGATACTACAGAAAGAGTGTTTCAAACCTGCTCTATTGAAGGGAATATTCAACTCTGTGACTTAAAAGCAAACATCACAAAGTATCTCCTGAGAATGCTGCTGTCTACTTTCTTTATGTATTCCCGTCTCCAACGAAATCCTCAGAGCTATCCGAATATCCATCTGCAGATTCCACATAAAGAGCTTTCCAAAACTGATCTATAAAGAGAAAGGTTCAACTCTGTTAGTTGAGTACATATATCCCAAAAATGTTTCTTAGAATGCTTCTGTCTAGTTTTGACGGGAAGACATTTCCTTTTTCACCAAAGGTGTCAACGTGCTCCAAATGTCCACTTCCAGATACGACAAAACGAGTGTTTCAAACCTGCTTTAGGAAGGGAAATGTTCAACTCCTGTGGCTTGAATGCAGATATCACAAAGCAGTTTCTGAGAGTGCCACTGTCTAGATTTTATATGAAGGTATTCCCGTTTCCAACGAAATCGTTAGAGCTATCCAAATATCCACTTGCAGATTCTATAAAAAGAGTGTTTCCAACGTGCTGTATCAAAAGATAGGTTGTACACTGTTAGTTGAGGACACACATTACAAAGAAGTTTCTGAGAATGCCTCTGTCTAGATTTTACCTGAAGATATTCCGGTTTCCAGTGAAATCCTTAAAGCTCTCCACATATCCACTAGCAGATACTCCAAAAGAGTCTTTCAAAACTGCTCTGTGAATAGAAATGCTCAACTCTGTTAGCTGACGACATACGTCACAAAGCAGTTTGTGAGAATGCTTCTGTCTAGGTTTTATGGGACGATATTTCCTTTTTCACCATAAGCGTCCAAGAGCTCCAAGTGCCCACATCCAGATACTACAGAAAGGGTGTTTCAAACCTGCTCTATGAAAGGGAATGTTCAACTCTGTGACGTGAATGCGGATATCACAAAGCCGTTTCTGAGAATGTTACTGTCTAGGTTGTCTGTGAAGATACTCCCGTTTCCAACGAAATCCACAAAGCCATCCAAATATCCACTTGCAGATTCTACAAAAATCGTGTTTCCAAACTGCTCTGTCAAACGAAATGTTCAACTCCGTGAGTTGAGGACACACATCACAAACAAGTTTCTGCGAATGCTTCTGTCTAGTTTGCATGGGAAGATATTTCCTTGTTCACCACGGGCCTGAAAGCGCTCGAAATGTCCACTTCCAGATACTGCAGAAAGAGGGTTTGAAACCTGCTCTATGAAAGGGAACGTTCAACTCTGTGACTTAAACGCAAACATCACAAAGAAGCTTCTGAGAATGCTGCTGTCTACTTTGTTTATGTAATCCCGTTTCCAACGTAACCCTCCAAGCTATCCAAATATCCTCCCGCAGATTCCACGAAAAGACGCTTTCAAGCCTTCCCTTAGAAAGGGAATATTCAACTCTCTGATATCAATGCAGATATCACAAAGTAGTTTCTGAGAGTGCTTCTGTCTAGGTTTTATGTGAAGATATTCCCGTTTCCAACGAAATAGTTAGGGCTATCCATGTATCAGCTTGCAAATTCTATAAAAAGAGTGTTTCCCAACTGCTGTATCATAAGAAAGGTTGAACTCTGTTAGTTGAGGACACACATCACAAAGACGTTTCTGAGAATGCTTCTGTCTAGTTTTTATGTTAAGGTATTTCCTTTTTCAACATAGGCCTGAAATCGATCGAAATGTCCACTTCCAGATACTACAGAAAGAGTGTTTCAAACCTGCTCTATTGAAGGGAATATTCAACTCTGTGACTTAAAAGCAAACATCACAAAGAATCTCCTGAGATTGCTGCTGTCTACTTTCTTTATGTATTCCCGTCTCCAACGAAATCCTCAGAGCTATCCGAATATCCATCTGCAGATTCCACATAAAGAGCTTTCCAAAACTGATCTATAAAGAGAAAGGTTCAACTCTGTTAGTTGAGTACATATATCCCAAAAATGTTTCTTAGAAAGCTTCTGTCTAGTTTTGAGGGGAAGACATTTCCTTTTTCACCAAAGGCGTCAAAGTGCTCCAAATGTCCACTTCCAGATACGACAAAACGAGTGTTTCAAACCTGCTTTAGGAAGGGAAATGTTCAACTCTGTGGCTTGAATGCAGATATCACAAAGCAGTTTCTGAGAGTGAAACTGTCTAGATTTTATATGAAGGTATTCCCGTTTCCAACGAAATCGTTAGAGCTATCCAAATATCCACTTGCAGATTCTATAAAAAGAGTGTTTCCAACGTGCTGTATCAAAAGATAGGTTGTACACTGTTAGTTGAGGACACACATTACAAAGAAGTTTCTGAGAATGCCTCTGTCTAGATTTTACCTGAAGATATTCCGGTTTCCAATGAAATCCTTAAAGCTCTCCAAATATCCACTAGCAGATACTCCAAAAGAGTCTTTCAAAACTGCTCTGTGAATAGAAATGTTCAACTCTGTTAGTTGAAGACATACGTCACAAAGCAGTTTGTGAGAATGCTTCTGTCCAGTTTTTATGGGACGATCTGTCCTTTTTCACCATAAGCGTCCAAGCGCTCCAAGTGCCCACATCCAGATGCTACAGAAAGTGTGTTTCAAACCTGCTCTATGAAAGGGAATGTTCAACTCTGTGACGTGAATGCAGATATCACAAAGCAGTTTCTGAGCATGTTACTGTCTAGGTTGTCTATGAAGATACTCCCGTTTCCAACAAAATCCACAAAGCCATCCAAATATCCACTTGCAGATTCTACAAAAATCGTGTTTCCAAACTGCTCTGTCAAACGAAATGTTCAACTCTGTGAGTTGAGGACACACATCACAAAGAAGTTTCTGCGAATGCTTCTGTCTAGTTTGCATGGGAAGATATTTCCTTGTTCACCATGGGCCTGAAAGCGCTCGAAATGTCCACTTCCAGATACTGCAGAAAGAGGGTTTGAAACCTGCTCTATGAAAGGGAACGTTCAACTCTGTGACTTAAACGCAAACATCACAAAGAAGCTTCTGAGAATGCTGCTGTCTACTTTGTATATGTAATCTCGTTTCCAACGTAACCCTCAAAGCTATCCAAATATCCTCCTGCAGATTCCACGAAAAGACGCTTTCAAGCCTGCCCTTAGAAAGGGAATATTCAACTCTCTGATATCAATGCAGATATCACAAAGTAGTTTCTGAGAATGCTTCTGCCTAGGTTTTATATGAAGATATTCCCGTTTCCAACGAAATAGTTAGGGCTATCCATGTATCAACTTGCAAATTCTATAAAAAGAGTGTTTCCAAACTGCTGTATCATAAGAAAGGTTGAACTCTGTTAGTTGAGGACACACATCACAAAGACGTTTCTGAGAATGCTTCTGTCTAGTTTTTATGTTAAGGTATTTCCTTTTTCAACATAGGCCTGAAATCGATCGAAATGTCCACTTCCAGATACTACAGAAAGAGTGTTTCAAACCTGCTCTATTGAAGGGAATATTCAACTCTGTGACTTAAAAGCAAACATCACAAAGAATCTCCTGAGATTGCTGCTGTCTACTTTCTTTATGTATTCCCGTCTCCAACGAAATCCTCAGAGCTATCCGAATATCCATCTGCAGATTCCACATAAAGAGCTTTCCAAAACTGATCTATAAAGAGAAAGGTTCAACTCTGTTAGTTGAGTACATATATCCCAAAAATGTTTCTTAGAATGCTTCTGTCTAGTTTTGATGGGAAGACATTTCCTTTTTCACCAAAGGCGTCAAAGTGCTCCAAATGTCCACTTCCAGATACGACAGAAAGAGTGTTTCAAACCTGCTTTAGGAAGGGAAATGTTCAACTCTGTGGCTTGAATGCAGATATCACAAAGCAGTTTCTGAGAGTGCCACTGTCTAGATTTCATATGAAGGTATTCCCGTTTCCAACGAAATCGTTAGAGCTATCCAACTATCCACTTGCAGATTCTATAAAAAGAGTGTTTCCAACGTGCTGTATCAAAAGATAGGTTGTACACTGTTAGTTGAGGACACACATGACAAAGAAGTTTCTGAGAATGCCTCTGTCTAGATTTTACCTGAAGATATTCCGGTTTCCAATGAAATCCTTAAAGCTCTCCAAATATCCACTAGCAGATACTCCAAAAGAGTCTTTCAAAACTGCTCTGTGAATAGAAATGTTCAACTCTGTTAGTTGAAGACATACGTCACAAAGCAGTTTGTGAGAATGCTTCTGTCCAGTTTTTATGGAACGATATGTCCTTTTTCACCATAAGCGTCCAAGCGCTCCAAGTGCCCACATCCAGATACTACAGAAAGTGTGTTTCAAACCTGCTCTATGAAAGGGAATGTTCAACTCTGTGACGTGAATGCAGATATCACAAAGCCGTTTCTGAGCATGTTACTGTCTAGGTTGTCTATGAAGATACTCCCGTTTCCAACGAAATCCACAAAGCCATCCAAATATCCACTTGCAGATTCTACAAAAATCGTGTTTCCAAACTGCTCTGTCAAACGAAATGTTCAACTCTGTGAGTTGAGGACACACATCACAAACAAGTTTCTGCGAATGCTTCTGTCTAGTTTGCATGGGAAGATATTTCCTTGTTCACCATGGGCCTGAAAGCGCTCGAAATGTCCACTTCCAGATACTGCAGAAAGAGGGTTTGAAACCTGCTCTATGAAAGGGAACGTTCAACTCTGTGACTTAAACGCAAACATCACAAAGAAGCTTCTGAGAATGCTGCTGTCTACTTTGTATATGTAATCCCGTTTCCAACATAACCCTCAAAGCTATCGAAATGTCCTCCTGCAGATTCCTCGAAAAGACGCTTTCAAGCCTGCTCTTAGAAAGGGAATATTCAACTCTCTGATATCAATGCAGATATCACAAATTAGTTTCTGAGAGTGCTTCTGCCTAGGTTTTATATGAAGATATTCCCGTTTCCAACGAAATAGTTAGGGCTATCCATGTATCAACTTGCAAATTCTATAAAAAGAGTGTTTCCAAACTGCTGTATCATAAGAAAGGTTGAACTCTGTTAGTTGAGGACACACATCACAAAGACGTTTCTGAGAATGCTTCTGTCTAGTTTTTATGTTAAGGTATTTCCTTTTTCAACATAGGCCTGAAATCCATCGAAATGTCCACTTCCAGATACTACAGAAAGAGTGTTTCAAACATGCTCTATTGAAGGGAATATTCAACTCTGTGACTTAAAAGCAAACATCACAAAGGATCTCCTGAGAATGCTGCTGTCTACTTTCTTTATGTATTCCCGTCTCCAACGAAATCCTCAGAGCTATCCGAATATCCATCTGCAGATTCCACATAAAGAGCTTTCCAAAACTGATATATAAAGAGAAAGGTTGAACTCTGTTAGTTGAGTACATATATCCCAAAAATGTTTCTTAGAATGCTTCTGTCTAGTTTTGATGGGAAGACATTTCCTTTTTCACCAAAGGCGTCAAAGTGCTCCAAATGTCCACTTCCAGATACGACAAAAAGAGTGTTTCAAACCTGCTTTAGGAAGGGAAATGTCCAACTCTGTGGCTTGAATGCAGATATCACAAAGCAGTTTCTGAGAGTGCCACTGTCTAGATTTTATATGAAGGTATTCCCGTTTCCAACGAAATCGTTAGAGCTATCCAAATATCCACTTGCAGATTCTATAAAAAGAGTGTTTCCAACGTGCTGTATCAAAAGATAGGTTGTACACTGTTAGTTGAGGACACACATTACAAAGAAGTTTCTGAGAATGCCTCTGTCTAGATTTTACCTGAAGATATTCCGGTTTCCAATGAAATCCTTAAAGCTCTCCAAATATCCACTAGCAGATACTCCAAAAGATTCTTT
This sequence comes from Homo sapiens, assembly GCF_000001405.40. Taxonomy (NCBI): domain Eukaryota; kingdom Metazoa; phylum Chordata; class Mammalia; order Primates; family Hominidae; genus Homo; species Homo sapiens. The sequence continues at coordinate 15,733,642 of NC_000018.10, read as the reverse complement.
CAAAACTGCTCTGTGAATAGAAATGTTCAACTCTGTTAGTTGAAGACATACATCACAAAGCAGTTTGTGAGAATGCTTCTGTCTAGGTTTTATGGGACGATATTTCCTTTTTCACCATAAGCGTCCAAGAGCTCCAAGTGCCCACATCCAGATACTTCAGAAAGGGTGTTTCAAACCTGCTCTATGAAAGGGAATGTTCAACTCTGTGACGTGAATGCGGATATCACAAAGCCGTTTCTGAGAATGTTACTGTCTAGGTTGTCTATGAAGATACTCCCGTTTCCAACGAAATCCACAAAGCCATCCAAATATCCACTTGCAGATTCTACAAAAATCGTGTTTCCAAACTGCTCTGTCAAACGAAATGTTCAACTCCGTGAGTTGAGGACACACATCACAAACAAGTTTCTGCGAATGCTCTGTCTAGTTTGCATGGGAAGATATTTCCTTGTTCACCATGGGCCTGAAAGCGCTCGAAATGTCCACTTCCAGATACTGCAGAAAGAGGGTTTGAAACCTGCTCTATGAAAGGGAACGTTCAACTCTGTGACTTAAACGCAAACATCACAAAGAAGCTCTGAGAATGCTGGCTGTCTGCTTTGTACATGTAATCCCGTTTCCAACGTAACCCTCAAAGCTATCCAAATATCCTCCTGCAGATTCCACGAAAAGACGCTTTCAAGCCTGCCCTTAGAAAGGGAATATTCAACTCTCTGATATCAATGCAGATATCACAAAGTAGTTTCTGAGAGTGCTTCTGTCTAGGTTTTATGTGAAGATATTCCCGTTTCCAACGAAATAGTTAGGGCTATCCATGTATCAACTTGCAAATTCTATAAAAAGAGTGTTTCCCAACTGCTGTATCATAAGAAAGGTTGAACTCTGTTAGTTGAGGACACACATCACAAAGACGTTTCTGAGAATGCTTCTGTCTAGTTTTTATGTTAAGGTATTTCCTTTTTCAACATAGGCCTGAAATCGATCGAAATGTCCACTTCCAGATACTACAGAAAGAGTGTTTCAAACCTGCTCTATTGAAGGGAATATTCAACTCTGTGACTTAAAAGCAAACATCACAAAGAATCTCCTGAGAATGCTGCTGTCTAGATTGTTTATGTATTCCCGTCTCCAACGAAATCCTCAGAGCTATCCGAATATCCATCTGCAGATTCCACATAAAGAGCTTTCCAAAACTGATCTATAAAGAGAAAGCTTCAACTCTGTTAGTTGAGTACATATATCCCAAAAATGTTTCTTAGAATGCTTCTGTCTAGTTTTGACGGGAGGACATTTCCTTTTTCACCAAAAGCGTCAAAGTGCTCCAAATGTCCACTTCCAGATACGACAAAACGAGTGTTTCAAACCTGCTTTAGGAAGGGAAATGTTCAACTCTGTGGCTTGAATGCAGATATCACAAAGCAGTTTCTGAGAGTGCCACTGTCTAGATTTTATATGAAGGTATTCCCGTTTCCAACGAAATCGTTAGAGCTATCCAAATATCCACTTGCAGATTCTATAAAAAGAGTGTTTCCAACGTGCTGTATCAAAAGATAGGTTGTACACTGTTAGTTGAGGACACACATTACAAAGAAGTTTCTGAGAATGCCTCTGTCTAGATTTTACCTGAAGATATTCCGGTTTCCAATGAAATCCTTAAAGCTCTCCAAATATCCACTAGCAGATACTCCAAAAGAGTCTTTCAAAACTGCTCTGTGAATAGAAATGTTCAACTCTGTTAGTTGAAGACATACGTCACAAAGCAGTTTGTGAGAATGCTTCTGTCCAGTTTTTATGGGACGATATGTCCTTTTTCACCATAAGCGTCCAAGCGCTCCAAGTGCCCACATCCAGATACTACAGAAAGTGTGTTTCAAACCTGCTCTATGAAAGGGAATGTTCAACTCTGTGACGTGAATGCAGATATCACAAAGCCGTTTCTGAGAATGTTACTGTCTACGTTTTCTATGAAGATACTCCCGTTTCCAACGAAATGCACAAAGCCATCCAAATATCCACTTGCAGATTCTACAAAAATCGTGTTTCCAAACTGCTCTGTCAAACGAAATGTTCAACTCTGTGAGTTGAGGACACACATCCCAAACAAGTTTCTGCGAATGCTTCTGTCTAGTTTGCATGGGAAGATATTTCCTTGTTCACCATAGGCCTGAAAGCGCTCGAAATGTCCACTTCCAGATACTGCAGAAAGAGGGTTTGAAACCTGCTCTATGAAAGGGAACGTTCAACTGTGTGACTTGAACGCAAACATCATAAAGAAGCTTCTGAGAATGCTGCTGTCTACTTTGTATATGTAATCCCGTTTCCAACGTAACCCTCAAAGCTATCCAAATATCCTCCTGCAGATTCCACGAAAAGACGCTTTCAAGCCTTCCCTTAGAAAGGGAATATTCAACTCTCTGATATCAATGCAGATATCACAAAGTAGTTTCTGAGAGTGCTTCTGTCTAGGTTTTATATGAAGATATTCCCGTTTCCAACGAAATAGTTAGGGCTATCCATGTATCAACTTGCAAATTCTATAAAAAGAGTGTTTCCAAACTGCTGTATCATAAGAAAGGTTGTACTCTGTTAGTTGAGGACACACATCACAAAGACGTTTCTGAGAATGCTTCTGTCTAGTTTTTATGTTAAGATATTTCCTTTTTCAACATAGGCCTGAAATCGATCGAAATGTCCACTTCCAGATACCACAGAAAGAGTGTTTCAAACCTGCTCTATTGAAGGGAATATTCAACTCTGTGACTTAAAAGCAAACATCACAAAGAATCTCCCGAGAATGCTGCTGTCTACTTTCTTTATGTATTCCCGTCTCCAGCGAAATCCTCAGATCTATCCGAATATCCACTTGCAGATTCCACGTAAAGAGCTTTCCAAAACTGATCTATAAAGAGGAAGGTTCAAATCTGTTAGTTGAGTACATATATCCCAAAAATGTTTCTTAGAATGCTTCTGTCTAGTTTTCATGGGAAGACATTTCCTTTTTCACCAAAGGCGTCAAAGTGCTCCAAATGTCCACTTCCAGATACGACAAAAAGAGTGTTTCAAACCTGCTTTAGGAAGGGAAATGTTCAACTCTGTGGCTTGAATGCAGATATCACAAAGCAGTTTCTGAGAGTGCCACTGTCTAGATTTTATATGAAGTTATTCCCGTTTCCAATTAAATTGTTAGAGCTATCCAAATATCCACTTGCAGATTCTACAAAAAGAGTGTTTTCAAACTGCTGTATCAAAAGACAGGTTGTACTCTGTCAGTTGAGGACACACATCACAAAGAAGTTTCTGAGAATGCCTCTGTCTAGATTGCACCTGAAGATATTCCGGTTTCCAATGAAATCCTTAAAGCTCTCCAAATATCCATTTGCAGATTCTCCAAAAAGTGTCTTTCAAAACTGCTCTGTAAATAGGAATGTTCAACTCTGTTAGTTGAGGACATACATCACAAACCAGTTTGTGAGAATGCTTCTGTCCAGTTTTTATGGGACGATATGTCCTTTTTCACCATAAGCGTCCAAGCGCTCCAAGTGCCCACATCCAGATACTACAGAAAGTGTGTTTCAAACCTGCTCTATGAAAGGGAATGTTCAACTCTGTGACGTGAATGCAGATATCACAAAGCAGTTTCTGAGCATGTTACTGTCTAGGTTGTCTGTGAAGATACTCCCGTTTCCAACGAAATCCACAAAGCCATCCAAATATCCACTTGCAGATTCTACAAAAATCGTGTTTCCAAACTGCTCTGTCAAACGAAATGTTCAACTCCGTGAGTTGAGGACACACATCACAAACAAGTTTCTGCGAATGCTTCTGTCTAGTTTGCTTGGGAAGATATTTCCTTGTTCACCATAGGCCTGAAAGTGCTCGAAATGTCCACTTCCATATACTGCAGAAATAGGGTTTGAAACCTGCTCTATGAAAGGGAACGTTCAACTCTGTGACTTAAACGGAAACATCACAAAGAAGCTTCTGAGAATGCTGCTGTCTGCTTTGTACATGTAATCCCGTTTCCAACGTAACCCTCAAAGCTATCCAAATATCCTCCTGCAGATTCCACGAAAAGACGCTTTCAAGCCTGCCCTTAGAAAGGGAATATTCAACTCTCTGATATCAATGCAGATATCACAAAGTAGTTTCTGAGAGTGCTTCTGTCTAGGTTTTATGTGAAGATATTCCCGTTTCCAACGAAATAGTTAGGGCTATCCATGTATCAACTTGCAAATTCTATAAAAAGAGTGTTTCCCAACTGCTGTATCATAAGAAAGGTTGAACTCTGTTAGTTGAGGACACACATCACAAAGACGTTTCTGAGAATGCTTCTGTCTAGTTTTTATGTTAAGGTATTTCCTTTTTCAACATAGACCTGAAATCGATCGAAATGTCCACTTCCAGATACTACAGAATGAGTGTTTCAAACCTGCTCTATTGAAGGGAATATTCAACTCTGTGACTTAAAAGCAAACATCACAAAGTATCTCCTGAGAATGCTGCTGTCTACTTTCTTTATGTATTCCCGTCTCCAACGAAATCCTCAGAGCTATCCGAATATCCATCTGCAGATTCCACATAAAGAGCTTTCCAAAACTGATATATAAAGAGAAAGGTTGAACTCTGTTAGTTGAGTACATATATCCCAAAAATGTTTCTTAGAATGCTTCTGTCTAGTTTTGATGGGAAGACATTTCCTTTTTCACCAAAGGCGTCAAAGTGCTCCAAATGTCCACTTCCAGATACGACAGAAAGAGTGTTTCAAACCTGCTTTAGGAAGGGAAATGTTCAACTCTGTGGTTTGAATGCAGATATCACAAAGCAGTTTCTACGAGTGCCACTGTCTAGATTTTATATGAAGGTATTCCCGTTTCCAACGAAATCGTTACAGCTATCCAAATATCCACTTGCAGATTCTATAAAAAGAGTGTTTCCAATGTGCTGTATCAAAAGATAGGTTGTACACTGTTGATTGAGGACAGACATTACAAAGAAGTTTCTGAGAATGCCTCTGTCTAGATTTTACCTGAAGATATTCCGGTTTCCAATGAAATCCTTAAAGCTCTCCAAATATCCACTAGCAGATACTCCAAAAGAGTCTTTCAAAACTGCTCTGTGAATAGAAATGTTCAACTCTGTTTGTTGAAGACATACGTCACAAAGCAGTTTGTGAGAATGCTTCTGTCTAGGTTTTATGGGACGATATTTCCTTTTTCACCATAAGCGTCCAAGAGCTCCAAGTGCCCACATCCAGATACTTCAGAAAGGGTGTTTCAAACCTGCTCTATGAAAGGGAATGTTCAACTCTGTGACGTGAATGCGGATATCACAAAGCCGTTTCTGAGAATGTTACTGTCTAGGTTTTCTATGAAGATACTCCCGTTTCCAACGAAATCCACAAAGCCATCCAAATATCCACTTGCAGATTCTACAAAAATCGTGTTTCCAAACTGCTCTGTCAAACGAAATGTTCAACTCTGTGAGTTGAGGACACACATCACAAACAAGTTTCTGGGAATGCTTCTGTCTAGTTTGCATGGGAAGATATTTCCTTGTTCACCATGGGCCTGAAAGCGCTCGAAATGTCCACTTCCAGATACTGCAGAAAGAGGGTTTGAAACCTGCTCTATGAAAGGGAACGTTCAACTCTGTGACTTAAACGCAAACATCACAAAGAAGCTTCTGAGAATGCTGCTGTCTACTTTGTTTATGCAATCCCGTTTCCAACGTAACCCTCAAAGCTATCCAAATATCCTCCTGCAGATTCCACGAAAAGACGCTTTCAAGCCTGCCCTTAGAAAGGGAATATTCAACTCTCTGATATCAATGCAGATATCACAAAGTAGTTTCTGAGAGAGCTTCTGTCTAGGTTTTATATGAAGATATTCCCGTTTCCAACGAAATAGTTAGGGCTATCCATGTATCAACTTGCAAATTCTATAAAAAGAGTGTTTCCAAACTGCCGTATCATAAGAAAGGTTGAACTCTGTTAGTTGAGGACACACATCACAACGACGTTTCTGAGAATGCTTCTGTCTAGTTTTTATGTTAAGATATTTCCTTTTTCAACATAGGCCTGAAATCGATCGAAATGTCCACTTCCAGATACTACAGAAAGAGTGTTTCAAACTTGCTCTATTGAAGGGAATATTCAACTCTGTGACTTAGAAGCAAACATCAGAAAGAATCTCCTGAGAATGCTGCTGTCTACTTTCTTAATGTATTCCCGTCTCCAACGAAATCCTCAGAGCTACCCGAATATCCATCTGCAGATTCCACATAAAGAGCTTTCCAAAACTGATCTATAAAGAGAAAGGTTCAACTCTGTTAGTTGAGTATATATATCCCAAAAATGTTTCTTAGAATGCTTCTGTCTAGTTTTGATGGGAAGACATTTCCTTTTTCACCAAAGGCGTCAAAGTGCTCCAAATGTCCACTTCCAGATACGACAAAAAGAGTGTTTCAAACCTGCTTTAGGAAGGGAAATGTCCAACTCTGTGGCTTGAATGCAGATATCACAAAGCAGTTTCTGAGAGTGCCACTGTCTAGATTTTATATGAAGGTATTCCCGTTTCCAACGAAATCGTTAGAGCTATCCAACTATCCACTTGCAGATTCTATAAAAAGAGTGTTTCCAACGTGCTGTATCAAAAGATAGGTTGTACACTGTTAGTTGAGGACTCACATTACGAAGAAGTTTCTGAGAATGCCTCTGTCTAGATTTTACCTGAAGATATTCCGGTTTCCAATGAAATCCTTAAAGCTCTCCAAATATCCACTAGCAGATACTCCAAAAGAGTCTTTCAAAACGGCTCTGTGAATAGAAATGTTCAACTCTGTTAGTTGAAGACATACGTCACAAAGCAGTTTGTGAGAATGCTTCTGTCTAGGTTTTATGGGACGATATTTCCTTTTTCACCATAAGCGTCCAAGAGCTCCAAGTGCCCACATCCAGATACTTCAGAAAGGGTGTTTCAAACCTGCTCTATGAAAGGGAATGTTCAACTCTGTGACGTGAATGCGGATATCACAAAGCCGTTTCTGAGAATGTTACTGTCTAGGTTTTCTATGAAGATACTCCCGTTTCCAACGAAATCCACAAAGCCATCCAAATATCCACTTGCAGATTCTACAAAAATCGTGTTTCCAAACTGCTCTGTCAAACGAAATGTTCAACTCTGTGAGTTGAGGACACACATCACAAACAAGTTTCTGCGAATGCTTCTGTCTAGTTTGCTTGGGAAGATATTTCCTTGTTCACCAAAGGCCTGAAAGCGCTCGAAATGTCCACTTCCAGATACTGCAGAAAGAGGGTTTGAAACCTGCTCTATGAAAGGGAACGTTCAACTCTGTGACTTAAACGCAAACATCACAAAGAAGCTTCTGAGAATGCTGCTGTCTGCTTTGTACATGTAATCCCGTTTCCAACGTAACCCTCAAAGCTATCCAAATATCCTCCTGCAGATTCCACGAAAAGACGCTTTCAAGCCTGCCCTTAGAAAGGGAATATTCAACTCTCTGATATCAATGCAGATATCACAAAGTAGTTTCTGAGAGTGCTTCTGCCTAGGTTTTATATGAAGATATTCCCGTTTCCAACGAAATAGTTAGGGCTATCCATGTATCAACTTGCAAATTCTATAAAAAGAGTGTTTCCAAACTGCTGTATCATAAGAAAGGTTGAACTCTGTTAGTTGAGGACCCACATCACAAAGACGTTTCTGAGAATGCTTCTGTCTAGTTTTTATGTTAAGATATTTCCTTTTTCAACATAGGCCTGAAATCGATCGAAATGTCCACTTCCAGATACTACAGAAAGAGTGTTTCAAACCTGCTCTATTGAAGGGAATATTCAACTCTGTGACTTCAAAGCAAACATCACAAAGAATCTCCCGAGAATGCTGCTGTCTACTTTCTTTATGTATTCCCGTCTCCAACGAAACCCTCAGAGCTATCCGAATATCCATCTGCAGATTCCACATAAAGAGCTTTCCAAAACTGATCTATAAAGAGAAAGGTTCAACTCTGTTAGTTGAGTACATATATCCCAAAAATGTTTCTTAGAATGCTTCTGTCTAGTTTTGATGGGAAGACATTTCCTTTTTCACCAAAGGCGTCAAAGTGCTCCAAATGTCCACTTCCAGATATGACAGAAAGAGTGTTTCAAACCTGCTTTAGGAAGGGAAATTTTCAAATCTGTGGCTTGAATGCAGATATCACAAAGCAGTTTCTGAGAGTGCCTCTGTCTAGATTTTATATGAAGATATTCCGGTTTCCAAAGAAATAGATAGAGCTATCCATATATCCAGGTGCAAATTCTATAAAAACAGTGTTTCCAAGCTGCTGTATCAAAAGACAGGTTGTAGTCTGTCAGTTGAGGACACACATCACAAAGAAGTTTCTGAGAATGCCTCTGTCTAGATTTCACCTGAAGATATTCCGGTTTCCAAAGAAATCCTAAAAGCTCTCAAAATATCCACTTGCACATTCTCCAAAAAGAGTCTTTCAAAACTGCTCTGTAAATAGAAATGTTCAACTCTGTTAGTTGAGGACATACATCACAAACCAGTTTGTGAGAATGTTTCTGTCTAGTTTTTATGGGAAGATATTTCCTTTTTCACCGTAAGCGTCCAAGCGCTCCAAGTGTCCACATCCAGATACTACAGAAAGAGTGTTTCAAACCTGCTCTACGAAAGGGAATGTTCAACTCTGTGACGTGAATGCAGATATCACAAAGCAGTTTCTGAGAATGTTACTGTCTAGGTTTTCTATGAAGATACTCCCGTTTCCAACGAAATCCACAAAGCCATCCAAATATCCACTTGCAGATTCTACAAAAATCGTGTTTCCAAACTGCTCTGTCAAACGAAATGTTCAACTACTGTGAGTTGAGGACACACATCACAAACAAGTTTCTGCGAATGCTTCTGTCTAGTTTGCATGGGAAGATATTTCCTTGTTCACCATAGGCCTGAAAGCGCTCGAAATGTCCACTTCCAGATACTGCAGAAAGAGGGTTTGAAACCTGCTCTATGAAAGGGAACGTTCAACTCTGTGACTTGAACGCAAACATCATAAAGAAGCTTCTGAGAATGCTGCTGTCTACTTTGTATATGTAATCCCGTTTCCAACGTAACCCTCAAAGCTATCCAAATATCCTCCCGCAGATTCCACGAAAAGACGCTTTCAAGCCTGCCCTTAGAAAGGGAATATTCAACTCTCTGATATCAATGCAGATATCACAAAGTAGTTTCTGAGAGTGCTTCTGCCTATGTTTTATATGAAGATATTCCCGTTTCCAACGAAATAGTTAGGGTTATCCATGTATCAACTTGCAAATTCTATAAAAAGAGTGTTTCCAAACTGCTGTATCATAAGAAAGGTTGAACTCTCTTAGTTGAGGACACACATCACAAAGACGTTTCTGAGAATGCTTCTGTCTAGTTTTTATGTTAAGGTATTTCCTTTTTCAACATAGGCCTGAAATCGATCGAAATGTCCACTTCCAGATACTACAGAAAGAGTGTTTCAAACCTGCTCTATTGAAGGGAATATTCAACTCTGTGACTTAAAAGCAAACATCACAAAGAATCTCCCGAGAATGCTGCTGTCTACTTTCTTTATGTATTCCCGTCTCCAACGAAATCCTTAGAGCTATCCGAATATCCATCTGCAGATTCCACATAAAGAGCTTTCCAAAACTGATCTATAAAGAGAAAGGTTCAACTCTGTTAGTTGAGTACATATATCCCAAAAATGTTTCTTAGAATGCTTCTGTCTAGTTTTCATGGGAAGACATTTCCTTTTTCACCAAAGGCGTCAAAGTGCTCCAAATGTCCACTTCCAGATACGACAAAAAGAGTGTTTCAAACCTGCTTTAGGAAGGGAAATGTTCAACTCTGTGGCTTGAATGCAGATATCACAAAGCAGTTTCTGAAAGTGCCACTGTCTAGATTTTATATGAAGGGATTCCCGTTTCCAACGAAATCATTAGAGCTATCCAAATATCCACTTGCAGATTCTATAAAAAGAGTGTTTCCAACGTGCTGTATCAAAAGATAGGTTGTACACTGTTAGTTGAGGACACACATTACAAAGAAGTTTCTGAGAATGCCTCTGTCTAGATTTTACCTGAAGATATTCCGGTTTCCAATGAAATCCTTAAAGCTCTCCAAATATCCACTAGCAGATACTCCAAAAGAGTCTTTCAAAACTGCTCTGTGAATAGAAATGTTCAACTCTGTTAGTTGAAGACATACGTCACAAAGCAGTTTGTGAGAATGCTTCTGTCCAGTTTTTATGGGACGATATGTCCTTTTTCACCATAAGCGTCCAAGCGCTCCAAGTGCCCACATCCAGATACTACAGAAAGTGTGTTTCAAACCTGCTCTGTGAAAGGGAATGTTCAACTCTGTGACGTGAATGCAGATATCACAAAGCAGTTTCTGAGCATGTTACTGTCTAGGTTGTCTATGAAGATACTCCCGTTTCCAACGAAATCCACAAAGCCATCCAAATATCCACTTGAAGATTCTACAAAAATCGTGTTTCCGAACTGCTCTGTCAAACGAAATGTTCAACTCCGTGAGTTGAGGACACACATCAGAAACAAGTTTCTGCGAATGCTTCTGTCTAGTTTGCATAGGAAGATATTTCCTTGTTCACCATGGGCCTGAAAGCGCTCGAAATGTCCACTTCCAGATACTGCAGAAAGAGGGTTTGAAACCTGCTCTATGAAAGGGAACGTTCACCTCTGTGACTTAAACGCAAACATCATAAAGAAGCTTCTGAGAATGCTGCTGTCTACTTTGTATATGTAATCCGGTTTCCAACGTAACCCTCAAAGCTATCAAAATATCCTCCTGCAGATTCCACGAAAAGACGCTTTCAAGCCTGCCCTTAGACAGGGAATATTCAACTCTCTGATATCAATGCAGATATCACAAAGTAGTTTCTGAGAGTGCTTCTGTCTAGGCTTTATATGAAGATATTCCCGTTTCCAACGAAATAGTTAGGGCTATCCATGTATCAACTTGCAAATTCTATAAAAAGAGTGTTTCCAAACTGCTGTATCATAAGAAAGGTTGAACTCTGTTATTTGAGGACACACATCACAAAGACGTTTCTGAGAATGCTTCTGTCTAGTTTTTATGTTAAGATATTTCCTTTTTCAACATAGGCCTGAAATCGATCGAAATGTCCACTTCCAGATACTACAGAAAGAGTGTTTCAAACCTGCTCTATTGAAGGGAATATTCAACTCTGTGACTTCAAAGCAAACATCACAAAGAATCTCCCGAGAATGCTGCTGTCTACTTTCTTTATGTATTCCCGTCTCCAACGAAATCCTCAGAGCTATCCGAATATCCATCTGCAGATTCCACATAAAGAGCTTTCCAAAACTGATCTATAAAGAGAAAGGTTCAACTCTGTTAGTTGAGTACATATATCCCAAAAATGTTTCTTAGAATGCTTCTGTCTAGTTTTGATGGGAAGACATTTCCTTTTTCACCAAAGGCGTCAAAGTGCTCCAAATGTCCACTTCCAGATACGACAAAAAGAGTGTTTCAAACCTGCTTTAGGAAGGGAAATGGTCAACTCTGTGGCTTGAATGCAGATATCACAAAGCAGTTTCTCAGAGTGCCACTGTCTAGATTTTATAGGAAGGTATTCCCGTTTCCAACGAAATCGTTGGAGCTATCCAACTATCCACTTGCAGATTCTATAAAAAGAGTGTTTCCAACGTGCTGTATCAAAAGATAGGTTGTACACTGTTAGTTGAGGACACACATTACAGAGAAGTTTCTGAGAATGCCTCTGTCTAGATTTTACCTGAAATACTCTGGTTTCTAATGAAATCCTTAAAGCTCTCCAAATATCCACTAGCAGATACTCCAAAAGAGTCTTTCAAAACTGCTCTGTGAATAGAAATGTTCTACTCTGTTAGTTGAAGACATACGTCACAAAGCAGTTTGTGAGAATGCTTCTGTCTAGGTTTTATGGGACGATATTTCCTTTTTCACCATAAGCGTCCAAGAGCTCCAAGTGCCCACATCCAGATACTTCAGAAAGGGTGTTTCAAACCTGCTCTATGAAAGGGAATGTTCAACTCTGTGACGTGAATGCGGATATCACAAAGCCGTTTCTGAGAATGTTACTGTCTAGGTTGTCTGTGAAGATACTCCCGTTTCCAACGAAATCCAGAAAGCCATCCAAATATCCACTTGCAGATTCTACAAAAATCGTGTTTCCAAACTGCTCTCTCAAACGAAATGTTCAACTCCGTGAATTGAGGACACACATCACAAACAAGTTTCTGCGAATGCTTCTGTCTAGTTTGCATGGGAAGATATTTCCTTGTTCACCATAGGCCTGAAAGCGCTCGAAATGTCCACTTCCAGATACTGCAGAAAGAGGGTTTGAAACCTGCTCTATGAAAGGGAACGTTCAACTCTGTGACTTAAACGCAAACATCATAAAGAAGCTTCTGAGAATGCTGCTGTCTACTTTGTATATGTAATTCCGTTTCCAACGAAATCCTCAAAGCTATCCAAATATCCTCCTGCAGATTCCACGAAAAGACGCTTTCAAGCCTGCCCTTAGAAAGGGAATATTCAACTCTGTGATATGAATGCAGATATCACAAAGTAGTTTCCTGAGAGTGCTTCTGTCTAGGCTTTATATGAAGAATATTCCCGTTTCCAACGAAATAGTTAGGGCTATCCATGTATCAACTTGCAAATTCTATAAAAAGAGTGTTTCCAAACTGCTGTATCATAAGAAAGGTTGAACTCTGTTATTTGAGGACACACATCACAAAGACGTTTCTGAGAATGCTTCTGTCTAGTTTTTATGTTAAGGTATTTCCTTTTTCAACATAGGCCTGAAATCGATCGAAATGTCCACTTCCAGATACTACAGAAAGAGTGTTTCAAACCTGCTCTATTGAAGGGAATATTCAACTCTGTGACTTAAAAGCAAACATCACAAAGAATCTCCTGAGAATGCTTGCTGTCTACTTTCTTTATGTATTCCCGTCTCCAACGAAACCCTCAGAGCTATCCGAATATCCATCTGCAGATTCCACATAAAGAGCTTTCCAAAACTGATCTATAGAGAGAAAGGTTCAACTCCGTTAGTTGAGTACATATATCCCAAAAATGTTTCTTAGAATGCTTCTGTCTAGTTTTGATGGGAAGACATTTCCTTTTTCACCAAAGGCGTCAAAGTGCTCCAAATGTCCACTTCCAGATACGACAGAAAGAGTGTTTCAAACCTGCTTTAGGAAGGGAAATGTTCAACTCTGTGGCTTGAATGCAGATATCACAAAGCAGTTTCTGCGAGTGCCACTGTCTAGATTTTATATGAAGGTATTCCCGTTTCCAACGAAATCGTTAGAGCTATCCAACTATCCACTTGCAGATTCTATAAAAAGAGTGTTTCCAACGTGCTGTATCAAAAGATAGGTTGTACACTGTTAGTTGAGGACACACATTACGAAGAAGTTTCTGAGAATGCCTCTGTCTAGATTTTACCTGAAGATATTCCGGTTTCCAATGAAATCCTTAAAGCTCTCCAAATATCCACTAGCAGATACTCCAAAAGAGTCTTTCAAAACTGCTCTGTGAATAGAAATGTTCAACTCTGTTAGTTGAAGACATACGTCACAAAGCAGTTTGTGAGAATGCTTCTGTCCAGTTTTTATGGGACGATATGTCCTTTTTCACCATAAGCGTCCAAGAGCTCCAAGTGCCCACATCCAGATACTACAGAAAGTGTGTTTCAAACCTGCTCTATGAAAGGGAATGTTCAACTCTGTGACGTGAATGCAGATATCACAAAACAGTTTCTGAGCATGTTACTGTCTAGGTTGTCTATGAAGATACTCCCGTTTCCAACGAAGTCCACAAAGCCATCCAAATATCCACTTGCAGATTCTACAAAAATCGTGTTTCCAAACTGCTCTGTCAAACGAAATGTTCAACTCCGTGAGTTGAGGACACACATCACAAACAAGTTTCTGCGAATGCTTCTGTCTAGTTTGCATAGGAAGATATTTCCTTGTTCACCATGGGCCTGAAAGCGCTCGAAATGTCCACTTCCAGATACTGCAGAAAGAGGGTTTGAAACCTGCTCTATGAAAGGGAACGTTCAACTCTGTGACTTAAACGCAAACATCATAAAGAAGCTTCTGAGAATGCTGCTGTCTACTTTGTATATTTAATCCGGTTTCCAACGTAACCCTCAAAGCTATCAAAATATCCTCCTGCAGATTCCACGAAAAGACGCTTTCAAGCCTGCCCTTAGACAGGGAATATTCAACTCTCTGATATCAATGCAGATATCACAAAGTAGTTTCTGAGAGTGCTTCTGTCTAGGTTTTATGTGAAGATATTCCCGTTTCCAACGAAATAGTTAGGGCTATCCATGTATCAACTTGCAAATTCTATAAAAAGAGTGTTTCCCAACTGCTGTATCATAAGAAAGGTTGAACTCTGTTAGTTGAGGACACACATCACAAAGACGTTTCTGAGAATGCTTCTGTCTAGTTTTTATGTTGAGATATTTCCTTTTTCAACGTAGGCCTGAAATCGATCGAAATGTCCACTTCCAGATATTACTGAAAGAGTGTTTCAAACCTGCTCTATTGAAGGGAATATTCAACTCTGTGACTTCAAAGCAAACATCACAAAGAATCTCCCGAGAATGCTGCTGTCTACTTTCTTTATGTATTCCCGTCTCCAACGAAATCCTCAGAGCTATCCTAATATCCATCTGCAGATTCCACATAAAGAGCTTTCCAAAACTGATCTATAAAGAGAAAGGTTCAACTCTGTTAGTTCAGTACATATATCCCAAAAATGTTTCTTAGAATGCTTCTGTCTAGTTTTCATGGGAAGACATTTCCTTTTTCACCAAAGGCGTCAAAGTGCTCCAAATGTCCACTTCCAGATACGACAAAAAGAGTGTTTCAAACCTGCTTCAGGAAGGGAAATGTTCAACTCTGTGGCTTGAATGCAGATATCACAAAGCAGTTTCTGAGAGTGCCACTGTCTAGATTTTATATGTAGGTATTCCCGTTTCCAATGAAATCGTTAGAGCTATCCAACTATCCATTTGCAGATTCTATAAAAAGAGTGTTTCCAACGTGCTGTATCAAAAGATAGGTTGTACACTGTTAGTTGAGGACACACATTACGAAGAAGTTTCTGAGAATGCCTCTGTCTAGATTTTACCTGAAGATATTCCGGTTTCCAGTGAAATCCTTAAAGCTCTCCACATATCCACTAGCAGATACTCCAAAAGAGTCTTTCAAAACTGCTCTGTGAATAGAAATGCTCAACTCTGTTAGCTGACGACATACGTCACAAAGCAGTTTGTGAGAATGCTTCTGTCTAGGTTTTATGGGACGATATTTCCTTTTTCACCATAAGCGTCCAAGAGCTCCAAGTGCCCACATCCAGATACTTCAGAAAGGGTGTTTCAAACCTGCTCTATGAAAGGGAATGTTCAACTCTGTGACGTGAATGCGGATATCACAAAGCCGTTTCTGAGAATGTTACTGTCTAGGTTGTCTATGAAGATACTCCCGTTTCCAACGAAATCCACAAAGCCATCCAAATATCCACTTGCAGATTCTACAAAAATCGTGTTTCCAAACTGCTCTGTCAAACGAAATGTTCAAATCTGTGAGTTGAGGACACACATCACAAACAAGTTTCTGCGAATGCTTCTGTCTAGTTAGCTTGGGAAGATATTTCCTTGTTCACCATAGGCCTGAAAGCGCTCGAAATGTCCACTTCCAGATACTGTAGAAAGAGGGTTTGAAACCTGCTATATGAAAGGGAACGTTCATCTCTGTGACTTAAACGCAAACATCACAAAGAAGCTTCTGAGAATGCTGCTGTCTACTTTGTATATGTAATCCCGTTTCCAAAGTAACCCTCAAAGCTATCCAAATATCCTCCAGCAGATTCCACGAAAAGACGCTTTCAAGCCTTCCCTTAGAAAGGGAATATTCAACTCTCTGATATCAATGCAGATATCACAAAGTAGTTTCTGAGAGTGCTTCTGTCTAGGTTTTATATGAAGATATTCCCGTTTCCAACGAAATAGTTAGGGTATCCATGTATCAACTTGCAAATTCTATAAAAAGAGTGTTTCCAAACTGCTGTATCATAAGAAAGGTTGAACTCTGTTAGTTGAGGACACACATCACAAAGACGTTTCTGAGAATGCTTCTGTCTAGTTTTTATGTTAAGATATTTCCTTTTTCAACATAGGCCTGTAATCGATCGAAATGTCCACTTCCAGATACTACAGAAAGAGTGTTTCAAACCTGCTCTATTGAAGGGAATATTCAACTCTGTGACTTAAAAGCAAACATCACAAAGAATCTCCTGAGAATGCTGCTGTCTACTTTCTTTATGTATTCCCGTCTCCAACGAAATCCTCAGAGCTATCCGAATATCCATCTGCAGATTCCACATAAAGAGCTTTCCAAAACTGATCTATAAAGAGAAAGGTTCAACTCTGTTAGTTGAGTACATATATCCCAAAAATGTTTCTTAGAAAGCTTCTGTCTAGTTTTGATGGGAAGACATTTCCTTTTTCACCAAAGGCGTCAAAGTGCTCCAAATGTCCACTTCCAGATACGACAGAAAGAGTGTTTCAAACCTGCTTTAGGAAGGGAAATGTTCAACTCTGTGGCTTGAATGCAGATATCACAAAGCAGTTTCTGCGAGTGCCACTGTCTAGATTTTATATGAAGGGATTCCCGTTTCCAACGAAATCATTAGAGCTATCCAAATATCCACTTGCAGATTCTATAAAAAGAGTGTTTCCAACGTGCTGTATCAAAAGATAGGTTGTACACTGTTAGTTGAGGACACACATTACAAAGAAGTTTCTGAGAATGCCTCTGTCTAGATTTTACCTGAAGATATTCCGGTTTCCAGTGAAATCCTTAAAGCTCTCCACATATCCACTAGCAGATACTCCAAAAGAGTCTTTCAAAACTGCTCTGTGAATAGAAATGCTCAACTCTGTTAGCTGACGACATACGTCACAAAGCAGTTTGTGAGAATGCTTCTGTCTAGGTTTTATGGGACGATATTTCCTTTTTCACCATAAGCGTCCAAGAGCTCCAAGTGCCCACATCCAGATACTACAGAAAGGGTGTTTCAAACCTGCTCTATGAAAGGGAATGTTCAACTCTGTGACGTGAATGCGGATATCACAAAGCCGTTTCTGAGAATGTTACACTGTCTAGGTTTTCTATGAAGATACTCCCGTTTCCAACGAAATCCACAAAGCCATCCAAATATCCACTTGCAGATTCTACAAAAATCGTGTTTCCAAACTGCTCTGTCAAACGAAATGTTCAACTCTGTGAGTTGAGGACACACATCACAAACAAGTTTCTGCGAATGCTTCTGTCTAGTTTGCATGGGAAGATATTTCCTTGTTCACCATGGGCCTGAAAGCGCTCGAAATGTCCACTTCCAGATACTGCAGAAAGAGGGTTTGAAACCTGCTCTATGAAAGGGAACGTTCAACCCTGTGACTTAAACGCAAACATCACAAAGAAGCTTCTGAGAATGCTGCTGTCTGCTTTGTAAATGTAATCCCGTTTCCAACGTAACCCTCAAAGCTATCCAAATATCCTCCTGCAGATTCCACGAAAAGACGCTTTCAAGCCTGCCCTTAGAAAGGGAATATTCAACTCTCTGATATCAATGCAGATATCACAAAGTAGTTTCTGAGAGTGCTTCTGTCTAGGTTTTATGTGAAGATATTCCCGTTTCCAACAAAATAGTTAGGGCTATCCATGTATCAGCTTGCAAATTCTATAAAAAGAGTGTTTCCAAACTGCTGTATCATAAGAAAGGTTGAACTCTGTTAGTTGAGGACACACATCACAAAGACGTTTCTGAGAATGCTTCTGTCTAGTTTTGATGTTAAGATATTTCCTTTTTCAACATAGGCCTGAAATCGATCGAAATGTCCACTTCCAGATACTACAGAAAGAGTGTTTCAAACCTGCTCTATTGAAGGAAATATTCAACTCTGTGACTTAAAAGCAAACATCACAAAGAATCTCCTGAGAATGCTGCTGTCTACTTTCTTTATGTATTCCCGTCTCCAACGAAATCCTCAGAGCTATCCGAATATCCATCTGCAGATTCCACATACAGAGCTTTCCAAAACTGATCTATAAAGAGAAAGGTTCAACTCTGTTAGTTGAGTACATATATCCCAAAAATGTTTCTTAGAATGCTTCTGTCTAGTTTTGATGGGAAGACATTTCCTTTTTCACCAAAGGCGTCAAAGTGCTCCAAATGTCCACTTCCAGATACGACAGAAAGAGTGTTTCAAACCTGCTTTAGGAAGGGAAATGTTCAACTCTGTGGCTTGAATGCAGATATCACAAAGCAGTTTCTGCGAGTGCCACTGTCTAGATTTTATATGAAGGTCTTCCCCTTTCCAACGAAATCGTTAGAGCTATCCAACTACCCACTTGCAGATTCTATAAAAAGAGTGTTTCCTACGTGCTGTATCAAAAGATAGGTTGTACACTGTTAGTTGAGGACACACATTACAAAGAAGTTTCTGAGAATGCCTCTGTCTAGATTTTACCTGAAGATATTCCGGTTTCCAATGAAATCCTTAAAGCTCTCCAAATATCCACTAGCAGATACTCCAAAAGAGTCTTTCAAAACTGCTCTGTGAATAGAAATGTTCAACTCTGTTAGTTGAAGACATACGTCACAAAGCAGTTTGTGAGAATGCTTCTGTCCAGTTTTTATGGGATGATATGTCCTTTTTCACCATAAGCGTCCAAGCGCTCCAAGTGCCCACATCCAGATACTACAGAAAGTGTGTTTCAAACCTGCTCTATGAAAGGGAATGTTCAACTCTGTGACGTGAATGCAGATATCACAAAGCAGTTTCTGAGAATGTTACTGTCTAGGTTGTCTATGAAGATACTCCCGTTTCCAACGAAATCCACAAAGCCATCCAAATATCCACTTGCAGATTCTACAAAAATCGTGTTTCCAAACTGCTCTGTCAAACGAAATGTTCAACTCTGTGAGTTGAGGACACACATCACAAACAAGTTTCTGCGAATGCTTCTGTCTAGTTTGCTTGGGAAGATATTTCCTTGTTCACCAAAGGCCTGAAAGCGCTCGAAATGTCCACTTCCAGATACTGCAGAAAGAGGGTTTGAAACCTGCTCTATGAAAGGGAACGTTCAACTCTGTGACTTAAACGCAAACATCACAAAGAAGCTTCTGAGAATGCTGCTGTCTACTTTGTATATGTAATCCCGTTTCCAACATAACCCTCAAAGCTATCGAAATGTCCTCCTGCAGATTCCACGAAAAGACGCTTTCAAGCCTGCTCTTAGAAAGGGAATATTCAACTCTCTGATATCAATGCAGATATCACAAATTAGTTTCTGAGAGTGCTTCTGTCTAGGTTTTATATGAAGATATTCCCGTTTCCAAGGAAATAGTTAGGGCTATCCATGTATCAACTTGCAAATTCTACAAAAAGAGTGTTTCCAAACTGCTGTATCATAAGAAAGGTTGTACTCTGTTAGTTGAGGACACACATCACAAAGACGTTTCTGAGAATGCTTCTGTCTAATTTTTATGTTAAGATATTTCCTTTTTCAACATAGGCCTGTAATCGATCGAAATGTCCACTTCCAGATACTACAGAAAGAGTGTTTCAAACCTGCTCTATTGAAGAGAATATTCAACTCTGTGACTTAAAAGCAAACATCACAAAGAATCTCCTGAGAATGCTGCTGTCTACTTTCTTTATGTATTCCCGTCTCCAACGAAACCCTCAGAGCTATCCGAATATCCATCTGCAGATTCCACATAAAGAGCTTTCCAAAACTGATCTATAGAGAGAAAGGTTCAACTCCGTTAGTTGAGTACATATATCCCAAAAATGTTTCTTAGAATGCTTCTGTCTAGTTTTGATGGGAAGACATTTCCTTTTTCACCAAAGGCGTCAAAGTGCTCCAAATGTCCACTTCCAGATACGACAAAAAGAGTGTTTCAAACCTGCTTTTGGAAGGGAAATATTCAACTCTGTGGCTTGAATGCAGATATCACAAAGCAGTTTCTGAGAGTGCCACTGTCTAGATTTTATATAAAGGTATTCCCGTTTCCAACGATATCGTTAGCGCTATCCAACTATCCACTTGCAGATTCTATAAAAAGAGTGTTTCCAACGTGCTGTTTCAAAAGATAGGTTGTACACGGTTAGTTGAGGACACATATTATGAAGAAGTTTCTGAGAATGCCCTGTCTAGATTTTACCTGAAGATATTCCGGTTTCCGGTGAAATCCTTAAAGCTCTCCACATATCCACTAGCAGATACTCCAAAAGAGTCTTTCAAAACTGCTCTGTGAATAGAAATGCTCAACTCTGTTAGCTGACGACATACGTCACAAAGCAGTTTGTGAGAATGCTTTCTGTCCAGTTTTTATGGGACGATATGTCCTTTTTCACCATAAGCGTCCAAGCGCTCCAAGTGCCCACATCCAGATACTACAGAAAGTGTGTTTCAAACCTGCTCTATGAAAGGGAATGTTCAACTCTGTGACGTGAATGCAGATATCACAAAACAGTTTCTGAGCATGTTACTGTCTAGGTTGTCTGTGAAGATACTCCCGTTTCCAACGAAATCCACAAAGCCATCCAAATATCCACTTGCAGATTCTACAAAAATCGTGTTTCCAAACTGCTCTGTCAAACGAAATGTTCAACTCCGTGAGTTGAGGACACACATCACAAACAAGTTTCTGCGAATGCTTCTGTCTAGTTTGCATGGGAAGATATTTCCTTGTTCACCATGGGCCTGAAAGCGCTCGAAATGTCCACTTCCAGATACTGCAGAAAGAGGGTTTGAAACCTGCTCTATGAAAGGGAAGGTTCAACTCTGTGACTTAAACGCAAACATCACAAAGAAGCTTCTGAGAATGCTGCTGTCTACTTTGTATATGTAATCCCGTTTCCAACGTAACCCTCAAAGCTATCCAAATATCCTCCCGCAGATTCCACGAAAAGACGCTTTCAAGCCTGCCCTTAGAAAGGGAATATTCAACTCTCTGATATCAATGCAGATATCACAAAGTAGTTTCTGAGAGTGCTTCTGCCTAGGTTTTATATGTAGATATTCCCGTTTCCAACGAAATACTTAGGGCTATCCATGTATCAACTTGCAAATTCTATAAAAAGAGTGTTTCCAAACTGCTGTATCATAAGAAAGGTTGAACTCTGTTAGTTGAGGACACACATCACAAAGACGTTTCTGAGAATGCTTCTGTCTAGTTTTTATGTTAAGATATTTCCTTTTTCAACATAGGCCTGAAATCGATCGAAATGTCCACTTCCAGATACTACAGAAAGAGTGTTTCAAACCTGCTCTATTGAAGGGAATATTCAACTCTGTGACTTCAAAGCAAACATCACAAAGAATCTCCCGAGAATGCTGCTGTCTACTTTCTTTATGTATTCCCGTCTCCAACGAAATCCTCAGAGCTATCCGAATATCCATCTGCAGATTCCACATAAAGAGCTTTCCAAAACTGATCTATAAAGAGAAAGGTTCAACTCTGTTAGTTGAGTACATATATCCCAAAAATGTTTCTTAGAAAGCTTCGGTCTAGTTTTGATGTGAAGACATTTCCTTTTTCACCAAAGGCGTCAAAGTTCTCCAAATGTCCACTTCCAGATACTACCAAAAGAGTGTTTTAAACCTGCTTTATGAAAGGAAATGTTGAACTCTGTGACTTGAAAGCAGATATCACAAAGCAGTTTCTGAGAGTGCCACTGTCTAGATTTTATATGAAGGTGTTCCCGTTTCCCACGAAATCGTTAGAGCTATCCAAATATCCACTTGCAGATTCTGTAAAAAGAGTGTTTCCAAACTGCTGTATCAAAAGACAGGTTGTACTCTGGTCGGTGAGTACACACATCACAAAGAAATTTCTGAGAATGCCTCTGTCTAGATTTTACCTGAGGATATTCCGGTTTCCGATGAAATCCTTAAAGCTCTCCACATATCCACTAGCAGATACTCCAAAGGAGTCTTTCAAAACTGCTCTGTGAATAGAAATGTTCAACTCTGTTAGCTGATGACATACGTCTCAAAGCAGTTTGTGAGAATGCTTCTGTCTAGGTTTTATGGGACGATATTTCCTTTTTCACCATAAGCGTCCAAGAGCTCCAAGTGCCCACATCCAGATACTTCAGAAAGGGTGTTTCAAACCTGCTCTATGAAAGGGAATGTTCAACTCTGTGACGTGAATGCGGATATCACAAAGCCGTTTCTGAGAATGTTACTGTCTAGGTTGTCTGTGAAGATACTCCCGTTTCCAACGAAATCCACAAAGCCATCCAAATATCCACTTGCAGATTCTACAAAAATCGTGTTTCCAAACTGCTCTGTCAAACGAAATGTTCAACTCCGTGAGTTGAGGACACACATCACAAACAAGTTTCTGCGAATGCTTCTGTCTAGTATGCATGGGAAGATATTTCCTTGTTCACCATAGGCCTGAAAGCGCTCGAAATGTCCACTTCCAGATACTGCAGAAAGAGGGTTTGAAACCTGCTCTATGAAAGGGAACGTTCAACTCTGTGACTTGAACGCAAACATCATAAAGAAGCTTCTGAGAATGCTGCTGTCTACTTTGTATATGTAATCCCGTTTCCAACGTAACCCTCAAAGCTATCCAAATATCCTCCTGCAGATTCCACGAAAAGACACTTTCAAGCCTGCCCTTAGAAAGGGAATATTCAACTCTCTGATATCAATGCAGATATCACAAAGTAGTTTCTGAGAGTGCTTCTGTCTAGGTTTTATGTGAAGATATTCCCGTTTCCAACGAAATAGTTAGGGCTATCCATGTATCAACTTGCAAATTCTATAAAAAGAGTGTTTCCCAACTGCTGTATCATAAGAAAGGTTGAACTCTGTTAGTTGAGGACACACATCACAAAGACGTTTCTGAGAATGCTTCTGTCTAGTTTTTATGTTACGATATTTCCTTTTTCAACATAGGCCTGAAATCGATCGAAATGTCCACTTCCAGATACTACAGAAAGAGTGTTTCAAACCTGCTCTATTGAAGGGAATATTCAACTCTGTGACTTAAAAGCAAACATCACAAAGAATCTCCCGAGAATGCTGCTGTCTACTTTCTTTATGTATTCCCGTCTCCAACGAAATCCTCAGAGCTATCCGAATATCCATCTGCAGATTCCACATAAAGAGCTTTCCAAAACTGATCTATAAAGAGAAAGGTTCAACTCTGTTAGTTGAGTACATATATCCCAAAAATGTTTCTTAGAAAGCTTCTGTCTAGTTTTGATGGGAAGACATTTCCTTTTTCACCAAAGGCGTCAAAGTGCTCCAAATGTCCACTTCCAGATACGACAAATAGAGTGTTTCAAACCTGCTTTAGGAAGGGAAATGTTCAACTCTGTGGCTTGAATGCAGATATCACAAAGCAGTTTCTGAGAGTGCCACTGTCTAGATTTCATATGAAGGTATTCCCGTTTCCAACGAAATCGTTAGAGCTATCCAAATTTCCACTTGCAGATTCTGGAAAAAGAGTGTTTCCAAACTGCTGTATCAAAAGACAGGTTGTACTCTGTTAGTTGAGGACACACATCACAAAGAATTTTCTGAGAATGCCTCTGTCTAGATTTTACCTGAAGATATTCCGGTTTCCAATGAAATCCTTAAAGCTCTCCAAATATCCACTAGCAGATACTCCAAAAGAGTCTTTCAAAACTGCTCTGTGAATAGAAATGTTCAACTCTGTTAGTTGAAGACATACGTCACAAAGCAGTTTGTGAGAATGCTTCTGTCCAGTTTTTATGGGACGATATGTCCTTTTTCACCATAAGCGTCCAAGCGCTCCAAGTGCCCACATCCAGATACTACAGAAAGTGTGTTTCAAACCTGCTCTATGAAAGGGAATGTTCAACTCTGTGACGTGAATGCAGATATCACAAAGCAGTTTCTGAGCATGTTACTGTCTAGGTTGTCTGTGAAGATACTCCCGTTTCCAACGAAATCCACAAAGCCATCCAAATATCCACTTGCAGATTCTACAAAAATTGTGTTTCCAAACTGCTCTGTCAAACGAAATGTTCAACTCCGTGAGTTGAGGACACACATCACAAACAAGTTTCTGCGAATGCTTCTGTCTAGTTAGCTTGGGAAGATATTTCCTTGTTCACCATAGGCCTGAAAGCGCTCGAAATGTCCACTTCCAGATACTGTAGAAAGAGGGTTTGAAAACTGCTATATGAAAGGGAACGTTCATCTCTGTGACTTAAACGCAAACATCACAAAGAAGCTTCTGAGAATGCTGCTGTCTACTTTGTATATGTAATCCCGTTTCCAACGTAACCCTCAAAGCTATCCAAATATCCTCCTGCAGATTCCACGAAAAGACGCTTTCAAGCCTGCCCTTAGAAAGGGAATATTCAACTCTCTGATATCAACGCAGATATCACAAAGTAGTTTCTGAGAGTGCTTCTGTCTCGGTTTTATATGAAGATATTCCAGTTTCCAACGAAATAGTTAGGGCTATCCATGTATCAACTTGCAAATTCTATAAAAAGAGTGTTTCCAAACTGCTGTATCATAAGAAAAGTTGAACTCTGTTAGTTGAGGACACACATCACAAAGACGTTTCTGAGAATGCTTCTGTCTAGTTTTTATGTTAAGGTATTTCCTTTTTCAACATAGGCCTGAAATCGATCGAAATGTCCACTTCCGGATACTACAGAAAGAGTGTTTCAAACCTGCTCTATTGAAGGGAATATTCAACTCTGTGACTTAAAAGCAAACATCACAAAGAATCTCCTGAGATTGCTGCTGTCTACTTTCTTTATGTATTCCCGTCTCCAACGAAATCCTCAGAGCTATCCGAATATCCATCTGCAGATTCCACATAAAGAGCTTTCCAAAACTGATCTATAAAGAGAAAGGTTCAACTCTGTTAGTTGAGTACATATATCCCAAAAATGTTTCTTAGAAAGCTTCTGTCTAGTTTTGATGGGAAGACATTTCCTTTTTCACCAAAGGCGTCAAAGTGCTCCAAATGTCCACTTCCAGATACGACAGAAAGAGTGTTTCAAACCTGCTTTAGGAAGGGAAATGTTCAACTCTGTGGCTTGAATGCAGATATCACAAAGCAGTTTCTGAGAGTGCCACTGTCTAGATTTTATATGAAGGTATTCCCGTTTCCAACGAAATCGTTAGAGCTATCCAAATATCCACTTGCAGATTCTATAAAAAGAGTGTTTCCAACGTGCTGTATCAAAAGATAGGTTGTACACTGTTAGTTGAGGACACACATTACAAAGAAGTTTCTGAGAATGCCTCTGTCTAGATTTTACCTGAAGATATTCCGGTTTCCAATGAAATCCTTAAAGCTCTCCAAATATCCACTAGCAGATACTCCAAAAGAGTCTTTCAAAACTGCTCTGTGAATAGAAATGTTCAACTCTGTTAGTTGAAGACATACGTCACAAAGCAGTTTGTGAGAATGCTTCTGTCCAGTTTTTATGGGACGATATGTCCTTTTTCACCATAAGCGTCCAAGCGCTCCAAGTGCCCACATCCAGATACTACAGAAAGTGTGTTTCAAACCTGCTCTATGAAAGGGAATGTTCAACTCTGTGACGTGAATGCAGATATCACAAAGCAGTTTCTGAGCATGTTACTGTCTAGGTTGTCTATGAAGATACTCCCGTTTCCAACGAAATCCACAAAGCCATCCAAATATCCACTTGAAGATTCTACAAAAATCGTGTTTCCGAACTGCTCTGTCAAACGAAATGTTCAACTCCGTGAGTTGAGGACACACATCAGAAACAAGTTTCTGCGAATGCTTCTGTCTAGTTTGCTTGGGAAGATATTTCCTTGTTCACCAAAGGCCTGAAAGCGCTCGAAATGTCCACTTCCAGATACTGCAGAAAGAGGGTTTGAAACCTGCTCTATGAAAGGGAACTTTCAACTCTGTGACTTAAACGCAAACATCGCAAAGAATCTTCTGAGAATGCTGCTGTCTACTTTGTTTATGTAATCCCGTTTCCAACGTATCCCTCCAAGCTATCCAAATATCCTCCCGCAGATTCCACGAAAAGACGCTTTCAAGCCTTCCCTTAGAAAGGGAATATTCAACTCTCTGATATCAATGCAGATATCACAAAGTAGTTTCTGAGAGTGCTTCTGCCTAGGTTTTATATGAAGATATTCCCGTTTCCAACGAAATAGTTAGGGCTATCCATGTATCAACTTGCAAATTCTATAAAAAGAGTGTTTCCAAACTGCTGTATCATAAGAAAGGTTGAACTCTGTTAGTTGAGGACACACATCACAAAGACGTTTCTGAGAATGCTTCTGTCTAGTTTTTATGTTAAAATATTTCCTTTTTCAACATAGGCCTGTAATCGATCGAAATGTCCACTTCCAGATACTACAGAAAGAGTGTTTCAAACCTGCTCTATTGAAGGGAATATTCAACTGTGTGACTTAAAAGTAAACATCACAAAGAATCTCCTGAGAATGCTGCTGTCTACTTTCTTTATGTATTCCCGTCTCCAACGAAATCCTCAGAGCTATCCGAATATCCATCTGCAGATTCCGCATAAAGAGCTTTCCAAAACTAATCTATAAAGAGAAAGGTTCAACTCTGTTAGTTGAGTACATATATCCCAAAAATGTTTCTTAGAATGCTTCTGTCAAGTTTTGATGGGAAGACATTTCCTTTTTCACCAAAGGCGTCAAACTGCTCCAAATGTCCACTTCCAGATACGACAAAAAGAGTGTTTCAAACCTGCTTTAGGAAGGGAAATGTTCAACTCTGTGGCTTGAATGCAGATATCACAAAGCAGTTTCTGAGAGTGCCACTGTCTAGATTTTATATGAAAGGATTCCCGTTTCCAACGAAATCGTTAGAGCTATCCAAATATCCACTTGCAGATTCTATAAAAAAACTGTTTCCAACGTGCTGTATCAAAAATAGGTTGTACACTGTTAGTTGAGGTCACACATTACAAAGAAGTTTCTGAGAATGCCTCTGTCTAGATTTTACCTGAAGATATTCCGGTTTCCAATGAAATCCTTAAAGCTCTCCAAATATCCACTAGCAGATACTCCAAAAGAGTCTTTCAAAACTGCTCTGTGAATAGAAATGTTCAACTCTGTTAGTTGAAGACATACGTCACAAAGCAGTTTGTGAGAATGCTTCTGTCCAGTTTTTATGGGACGATCTGTCCTTTTTCACCATAAGCGTCCAAGCGCTCCAAGTGCCCACATCCAGATACTACAGAAAGTGTGTTTCAAACCTGCTCTATGAAAGGGAATGTTCAACTCTGTGACGTGAATGCAGATATCACAAAACAGTTTCTGAGCATGTTACTGTCTAGGTTTTCTATGAAGATACTCCCATTTCCAACGAAATCCACAAAGCCATCCAAATATCCACTTGCAGATTCTACAAAAATCGTGTTTCCAAACTGCTCTGTCAAACGAAATGTTCAACTTCTGTGAGTTGAGGACACACATCACAAACAAGTTTCTGTGAATGCTTCTGTCTAGTTTGCATGGGAAGATATTTCCTTGTTCACCATGGGCCTGAAAGCGCTCGAAATGTCCACTTCCAGATACTGCAGAAAGAGGGTTTGAAACCTGCTCTATGAAAGGGAACGTTCAACTCTGTGACTTAAACGCAAACATCATAAAGAAGCTTCTGAGAATGCTGCTGTCTACTTTGTATATGTAATCCGGTTTCCAACGTAATCCTCAAAGCTATCCAAATATCCTCCCGCAGATTCCACGAAAAGACGCTTTCAAGCCTGCCCTTAGAAAGGGAATATTCAACTCTCTGATATCAATGCAGATATCACAAAGTAGTTTCTGAGAGTGCTTCTGTCTAGGTTTTATATGAAGATATTCCCGTTTCCAACGAAATAGTTAGGGCTATCCATATATCAACATGCAAATTCTATAAAAAGAGTGTTTCCAAACTGCTGTATCATAAGAAAGGTTGAACTCTGTTAGTTGAGGACACACATCACAAAGACGTTTCTGAGAATGCTTCTGTCTAGTTTTTATGTTAAGGTATTTCCTTTTTCAACATAGGCCTGAAATCGATCGAAATGTCCACTTCCAGATACTACAGAAAGAGTGTTTCAAACCTGCTCTATTGAAGGGAATATTCAACTCTGTGACTTAAAAGCAAACATCACAAAGTATCTCCTGAGAATGCTGCTGTCTACTTTCTTTATGTATTCCCGTCTCCAACGAAATCCTCAGAGCTATCCGAATATCCATCTGCAGATTCCACATAAAGAGCTTTCCAAAACTGATCTATAAAGAGAAAGGTTCAACTCTGTTAGTTGAGTACATATATCCCAAAAATGTTTCTTAGAATGCTTCTGTCTAGTTTTCATGGGAAGACATTTCCTTTTTCACCAAAGGCGTCAAAGTGCTCCAAATGTCCACTTCCAGATACGACAGAAAGAGTGTTTCAAACCTGCTTTAGGAAGGGAAATGTTCAACTCTGTGGCTTGAATGCAGATATCACAAAGCAGTTTCTGAGAGTGCCACTGTCTACATTTTATATGAAGGTATTCCCGTTTCCAACGAAATCGTTAGAGCTATCCAACTATCCACTTGCAGATTCTATAAAAAGAGTGTTTCCAACGTGCTGTATCAAAACATAGGTTGCACACTCTTAGTTGAGGACACACATTAAGAAGAAGTTTCTGAGAATGCCTCTGTCTAGATTTTACCTGAAGATATTCCGGTTTCCGGTGAAATCCTTAAAGCTCTCCAAATATCCACTAGCAGATACTCCAAAAGAGTCTTTCAAAACTGCTCTGTGAATAGAAATGTTCAACTCTGTTAGCTGACGACATACGTCTCAAAGCAGTTTGTGAGAATGCTTCTGTCCAGTTTTTATGCGACGATATGTCCTTTTTCACCATAAGCGTCCAAGCGCTCCAAGTGCCCACATCCAGATACTACAGAAAGTGTGTTTCAAACCTGCTCTATGAAAGGGAATGTTCAACTCTGTGACGTGAATACAGATATCACAAAGCAGTTTCTGAGCATGTTACTGTCTAGGTTTTCTATGAAGATACTCCCGTTTCCAACGAAATCCACAAAGCCATCCAAATATCCACTTGCAGATTCTACAAAAATCGTGTTTCCAAACTGCTCTGTCAAACGAAATGTTCAACTCTGTGAGTTGAGGACACACATCACAAACAAGTTTCTGCGAATGCTTCTGTCTAGTTTGCATGGGAAGATATTTCCTTGTTCACCATAGGCCTGAAAGCGCTCGAAATGTCCGCTTCCAGATACTGCAGAAAGGGGGTTTGAAACCTGCTCTATGAAAGGGAACGTTCAACTCTGTGACTTGAATGCAAACATCATAAAGAATCTTCTAAGAATGCTGCTGTCTGCTTTGTACATGTAATCCCGTTTCCAACGTGACCCTCAAAGCTATCCAAATATCCTCCTACAGATTCCATGAAAAGACGCTTTCAAGCCTGCCCTTAGAAAGGGAATATTCAACTCTCTGATATCAATGCAGATATCACAAAGTAGTTTCTGAGAGTGCTTCTGTCTAGGTTTTATGTGAAGATATTCCCGTTTCCAACGAAATAGTTAGGGCTATCCATGTATCAGCTTGCAAATTCTATAAAAAGAGTGTTTCCCAACTGCTGTATCATAAGAAAGGTTGAACTCTGTTAGTTGAGGACACACATCACAAAGACGTTTCTGAGAATGCTTCTGTCTAGTTTTTATGTAGAGATATTTCCTTTTTCAACATAGGCCTGAAATCGATCGAAATGGCCACTTCCAGATACTACAGAAAGAGTGTTTCAAACCTGCTCTATTGAAGGGAATATTCAACTCTGTGACTTCAAAGCAAACATCACAAAGAATCTCCCGAGAATGCTGCTGTCTACTTTCTTTATGTATTCCCGTCTCCAACGAAATCCTCAGAGCTATCCGAATATCCATCTGCAGATTCCACATAAAGAGCTTTCCAAAACTGATATATAAAGAGAAAGGTTGAACTCTGTTAGTTGAGTACATATATCCCAAAAATGTTTCTTAGAATGCTTCTGTCTAGTTTTCATGGGAAGACATTTCCTTTTTCACCAAAGGCGTCAAAGTGCTCCAAATGTCCACTTCCAGATACGACAGAAAGAGTGTTTCAAACCTGCTTTAGGAAGGGAAATGTTCAACTCTGTGGCTTGAATGCAGATATCACAAAGCAGTTTCTGAGAGTGCCACTGTCTAGATTTTATATGAAGGTATTCCCGTTTCTAACGAAATCGTTAGAGCTATCCAACTATCCACTTGCAGATTCTATAAAAAGAGTGTTTCCAACGTGCTGTATCAAAAGATAGGTTGTACACTGTTAGTTGAGGACACACATTACGAAGAAGTTTCTGAGAATGCCTCTGTCTAGATTTTACCTGAAGATATTCCGGTTTCCAATGAAATCCTTAAAGCTCTCCAAATATCCACTAGCAGATACTCCAAAAGAGTCTTTCAAAACTGCTCTGTGAATAGAAATGTTCAACTCTGTTAGTTGAAGACATACGTCACAAAGCAGTTTGTGAGAATGCTTCTGTCTAGGTTTTATGGGACGATATTTCCTTTTTCACCATAAGCGTCCAAGAGCTCCAAGTGCCCACATCCAGATACTACAGAAAGGGTGTTTCAAACCTGCTCTATGAAAGGGAATGTTCAACTCTGTGACGTGAATGCGGATATCACAAAGCCGTTTCTGAGAATGTTACTGTCTAGGTTTTCTATGAAGATACTCCCGTTTCCAACGAAATCCACAAAGCCATCCAAATATCCACTTGCAGATTCTACAAAAATCGTGTTTCCAAACTGCTCTGTCAAACGAAATGTTCAACTCTGTGAGTTGAGGACACACATCACAAACAAGTTTCTGCGAATGCTTCTGTCTAGTTTGCATGGGAAGATATTTCCTTGTTCACCATAAGCCTGAAAGCGCTCGAAATGTCCACTTCCAGATACTGCAGAAAGAGGGTTTGAAACCTGCACTATGAAAGGGAACGTTCAACTCTGTGACTTGAACGCAAACATCATAAAGAAGCTTCTGAGAATGCTGCTGTCTACATTCTCTATGTAATCCCGTTTCCAACGTAACCCTCAAAGCTATCCAAATATCCTCCTGCAGATTCCACGAAAAGACGCTTTCAAGCCTGCCCTTAGAAAGGGAATATTCAACTCTCTGATATCAATGCAGATATCACAAAGTAGTTTCTGAGAGTGCTTCTGCCTAGGTTTTATATGAAGATATTACCGTTTCCAACGAAATAGTTAGGGCTATCCATGTATCAACTTGCAAATTCTATAAAAAGAGTGTTTCCAAACTGCTGTATCATAAGAAAGGTTGAACTCTGTTAGTTGAGGACACACATCACAAAGACGTTTCTGAGAATGCTTCTGTCTAGTTTTTATGTTAAGGTATTTCCTTTTTCAACATAGGCCTGAAATCGATCGAAATGTCCACTTCCAGATACTACAGAAAGAGTGTTTCAAACCTGCTCTATTGAAGGGAATATTCAACTCTGTGACTTAAAAGCAAACATCACAAAGAATCTCCTGAGAATGCTGCTGTCTACTTTCTTTATGCATTCCCGTCTCCAACGAAATCCTCAGAGCTATCCGAATATCCATTTGCAGTTTCCACATAAAGAGCTTTCCAAAACTGATCTATAAAGAGAAAGGTTCAACTCTGTTAGTTGAGTACATATATCCCAAAAATGTTTCTTAGAATGCTTCTGTCTAGTTTTCATGGGAAGACATTTTCTTTTTCACCAAAGGCGTCAAAGTGCTCCAAATGTCCACTTCCAGATACGACAAAAAGAGTGTTTCAAACCTGCTTTAGGAAGGGAAATGTTCAACTCTGTGGCTTGAATGCAGATATCACAAAGCAGTTTCTGAGAGTGCCACTGTCTAGATTTTATATGAAGGTATTCCAGTTTCCAACGAAATCGTTAGAGCTATCCAACTATCCACTTGCAGATTCTATAAAAAGAGTGTTTCCAACGTGCTGTATCAAAAGATAGGTTGTACACTGTTAGTTGAGGACACACATTATGAAGAAGTTTCTGACAATGCCTCTGTCTAGATTTTACCTGAAGATATTCCGGTTTCCAATGAAATCCTTAAAGCTCTCCAAATATCCACTAGCAGATACTCCAAAAGAGTCTTTCAAAACTGCTCTGTGAATAGAAATGTTCAACTCTGTTAGTTGAAGACATACGTCACAAACAGTTTGTGAGAATGCTTCTGTCTAGTTTTTATGGGACGATATTTCCTTTTTCACCATAAGCGTCCAAGCGCTCCAAGTGCCCACATCCAGATACTACAGAAAGTGTGTTTCAAGCCTGCTCTATGAGAGGGAAAGTTCAACTCTGTGACGTGAATGCGGATATCACAAAGCCGTTTCTGAGAATGTTTCTGTCTAGGTTTTCTATGAAGATACTCCCGTGTCCAACGAAATCCACAAAGCTATCCAAATATCCACTTGCAGATTCTACAAAAAGCGTGTCTCCAAACTGCTCTGTCAAACGAAATGATCAACTCTGTGAGTTGAGGACACACATCACAAACAAGTTTCTGCGAATGCTTCTGTCTAGTTTGCATGGGAAGATATTTCCTTGTTCACCATGGGCCTGAAAGCGCTCGAAATGTCCACTTCCAGATACTGCAGAAAGAGGGTTTGAAACCTGCACTATGAAAGGGAACGTTCAACTCTGTGACTTAAACGCAAACATCACAAAGAAGCTTCTGAGAATGCTGCTGTCTACTTTGTATATGTAATCCCGTTTCCAACGTAACCCTCCAAGCTATCCAAATATCCTCCTGCAGATTCCACAAAAAGACGCTTTCAAGCCTGCCCTTAGAAAGGGAATATTCAACTCTCTGATATCAATGCAGATATCACAAAGTAGTTTCTGAGAGTGCTTCTGCCTAGGTTTTATATGAAGATATTCCCGTTTCCAACGAAATAGTTAGGGCTATCCATGTATCAACTTGCAAATTCTATAAAAAGAGTGTTTCCAAACTGCTGTATCATAAGAAAGGTTGAACTCTGTTAGTTGAGGACACACATCACAAAGACGTTTCTGAGAATGCTCTGTCTATTTTTTATGTTACGATATTTCCTTTTTCAACATAGGCCTGAAATCGATCGAAATGTCCACTTCCAGATACTACAGAAAGAGTGTTTCAAACCTGCTCTATTGAAGGGAATATTCAACTCTGTGACTTAAAAGCAAACATCACAAAGAATCTCCCGAGAATGCTGGCTGTCTACATTCTTTATGTATTCCCGTCTCCAACGAAATCCTCAGAGCTATCCGAATATCCATTTGCAGATTCCACATAAAGAGCTTTCCAAAACTGATCTATAAAGAGAAAGGTTCAACTCTGTTACTTGAGTACATATATCCCAAAAATGTTTGCTTAGAAAGCTTCTGTCTAGTTTTGATGGGAAGACATTTCCTTTTTCACCAAAGGCGTCAAAGTGCTCCAAATGTCCACTTCCAGATACGACAAAAAGAGTGTTTCAAACCTGCTTTAGGAAGGGAAATGTTCAACTCTGTGGCTTGAATGCAGATATCACAAAGCAGTTTCTGAGAGTGCCACTGTCTAGATTTTATATGAAGGTCTTCCCGTTTCCAACGAAATCGTTAGAGCTATCCAACTATCCACTTGCAGATTCTATAAAAAGAGTGTTTCCAACGTGCTGTATCAAAAGATAGGTTGTACACTGTTAGTTGAGGACACACATTACAAAGAAGTTTCTGAGAATGCCTCTGTCTAGATTTTACCTGAAGATCTTCCGGTTTCCAATGAAATCCTTAAAGCACTCCAAATATCCACTAGCAGATACTCCAAAGAGTCTTTCAAAACTGCTCTGTGAATAGAAATGTTCAACTCTGTTAGTTGAAGACATACGTCACAAAGCAGTTTGTGAGAATGCTTCTATCCAATTTTTATGGGACGATATGTCCTTTTTCACCATAAGCGTCCAAGCGCTCCAAGTGCCCACATCCAGATACTACAGAAAGTGTGTTTCAAACCTGCTCTATGAAAGGGAATGTTCAACTCTGTGACGTTAATGCAGATATCACAAAGCAGTTTCTGAGAATGTTACTGTCTAGGTTGTCTATGAAGATACTCCCGTTTCCAACGAAATCCACAAAGCCATCCAAATATCCACTTGCAGATTCTACAAAAATCGTGTTTCCAAACTGCTCTGTCAAACGAAATGTTCAACTCTGTGAGTTGAGGACACACATCACAAACAAGTTTCTGTGAATGCTTCTGTCTAGTTTGCTTGGGAAGATATTTCCTTGTTCACCATGGGCCTGAAAGCGCTCGAAATGTCCACTTCCAGATACTGCAGAAAGAGGGTTTGAAAGCTGCTCTATGAAAGGGAACGTTCAACTCTGTGACTTAAACGCAAAAATCACAAAGAAGCTTCTGAGAATGCTGCTGTCTGCTTTGTACATGTAATCCCGTTTCCAACGTAACCCTCAAAGCTATCCAAATATCCTCCTGCAGATTCCACGAAAAGACGCTTTCAAGCCTGCCCTTAGAAAGGGAATATTCAACTCTCTGATATCAATGCAGATATCACAAAGTAGTTTCTGAGAGTGCTTCTGTCTAGGTTTTATGTGAAGATATTCCCGTTTCCAACGAAATAGTTAGGGCTATCCATGTATCAGCTTGCAAATTCTATAAAAAGAGTGTTTCCCAACTGCTGTATCATAAGAAAGGTTGAACTCTGTTAGTTGAGGACACACATCACAAAGACGTTTCTGAGAATGCTTCTGTCTAGTTTTTATGTTAAGATATTTCCTTTTTCAACATAGGCCTGAAATCGATCGAAATGTCCACTTCCAGATACTACAGAAAGAGTGTTTCAAACCTGCTCTATTGAAGGGAATATTCAACTCTGTGACTTCAAAGCAAACATCACAAAGAATCTCCCGAGAATGCTGCTGTCTACTTTCTTTATGTATTCCCGTCTCCAACGAAATCCTCAGAGCTATCCGAATATCCATCTGCAGATTCCACATAAAGAGCTTTCCAAAACTGATCTATAAAGAGAAAGGTTCAACTCTGTTAGTTGAGTACATATATCCCAAAAATGTTTCTTAGAATGCTTCTGTCTAGTTTTCATGGGAAGACATTTCCTTTTTCACCAAAGGCGTCAAAGTGCTCCAAATGTCCACTTCCAGATACGACAGAAAGAGTGTTTCAAACCTGCTTTAGGAAGGGAAATGTTCAACTCTGTGGCTTGAATGCAGATATCACAAAGCAGTTTCTGAGAGTGCCACTGTCTAGATTTTATATGAAGGTATTCCCGTTTCCAACGAAATCGTTAGAGCTATCCAAATATCCACTTGCAGATTCTATAAAAAGAGTGTTTCCAACGTGCTGTATCAAAAGATAGGTTGTACACTGTTAGTTGAGGACACACATTACAAAGAAGTTTCTGAGAATGCCTCTGTCTAGATATTACCTGAAGATATTCCAGTTTCCAATGAAATCATTAAAGCTCTCCAAATATCCACTAGCAGATACTCCAAAAGAGTCTTTCAAAACTGCTCTGTGAATAGAAATGTTCAACTCTGTTAGTTGAAGACATACGTCACAAAGCAGTTTGTGAGAATGCTTCTGTCCAGTTTCTATGGGACGATATGTCCTTTTTCACCATAAGCGTCCAAGCGCTCCAAGTGCCCACATCCAGATACTACAGAAAGTGTGTTTCAAACCTGCTCTATGAAAGGGAATGTTCAACTCTGTGACGTGAATGCAGATATCACAAAACAGTTTCTGAGCATGTTACTGTCTAGGTTGTCTATGAAGATACTCCCGTTTCCAACGAAATCCACAAAGCCATCCAAATATCCACTTGCAGATTCTACAAAAATCGTGTTTCCAAACTGCTCTGTCAAACGAAATGTTCAACTCCGTGAGTTGAGGACACACATCACAAACAAGTTTCTGCGAATGCTTCTGTCTAGTTTGCATGGGAAGATATTTCCTTGTTCACCATAGGCCTGAAAGCGCTCGAAATGTCCACTTCCAGATACTGCAGAAAAAGGGTTTGAAACCTGCTCTATGAAAGGGAACGTTCAACTCTGTGACTTGAACGCAAACATCATAAAGAAGCTTCTGAGAATGCTGCTGTCTGCTTTGTACATGTAATCCCGTTTCCAACGTGACCCTCAAAGCTATCCAAATATCCTCCTACAGATTCCATGAAAAGACGCTTTCAAGCCTGCCCTTAGAAAGGGAATATTCAACTCTCTGATATCAATGCAGATATCACAAAGTAGTTTCTGAGAGTGTTTCTGTGGAGATTTTATATGAAGATATTCCCGTTTCCAACGAGATAGTTAGAGCTATCCATGTATCCAGTTGCAAATTCTATAAAAAGTGTGTTTTCAAGCTGCTGTATCATAAGAAAAGTTGAACTCTGTTAGTTGAGGACCCACATCACAAAGAAGTTTCTGAGAATGCTTCTGTCTAGTTTTTATGTTGAGATATTTCCTTTTACAACATAGGCCTGAAATCGATCGAAATGGCCACTTCCAGATACTACAGAAAGAGTGTTTCAAACCTGCTCTATTGAAGGGAATATTCAACTCTGTGACTTCAAAGCAAACATCACAAAGAATCTCCCGAGAATGCTGCTGTCTACTTTCTTTATGTATTCCCGTCTCCAACGAAATCCTCAGAGCTATCCGAATATCCATCTGCAGATTCCACATAAAGAGCTTTCCAAAACTGATCTATAAAGAGAAAGGTTCAACTCTGTTAGTTGAGTACATACATCCCAAAAATGTTTCTTAGAATGCTTCTGTCTAGCTTTCATGGGAAGACATTTCCTTTTTCACCAAAGGCGTCAAAGTGCTCCAAATGTCCACTTCCAGATACGACAAAAAGAGTGTTTCAAACCTGCTTTAGGAAGGGAAATGTTCAACTCTGTGGCTTGAATGCAGATATCACAAAGCAGTTTCTGAGAGTGCCACTGTCTAGATTTTATATGAAGGTATTCCCGTTTCCAACGAAATCGTTAGAGCTATCCAACTATCCACTTGCAGATTCTATAAAAAGAGTGTTTCCAACGTGCTGTATCAAAAGATAGGTTGTACACTGTTAGTTGAGGACACACATTACGAAGAAGTTTCTGAGAATGCCTCTGTCTAGATTTTACCTGAAATACTCTGGTTTCTAATGAAATCCTTAAAGCTCTCCAAATATCCACTAGCAGATACTCCAAAAGAGTCTTTCAAAACTGCTCTGTGAATAGAAATGTTCCACTCTGTTAGTTGAAGACATACGTCACAAAGCAGTTTCTGAGAATGCTTCTGTCTAGTTTTTATGGGACGATATTTCCTTTTTCACCATAAGCGTCCAAGCACTCCAAGTGCCCACATCCAGATACTACAGAATGTGTGTTTCAAGCCTGCTCTATGAGAGGGAATGTTCAACTCTGTGACGTGAATGCGGATATCACAAAGCCATTTCTGAGAATGTTACTGTCTAGGTTGTCTATGAAGATACTCCCGTTTCCAACGAAATCCACAAAGCCATCCAAATATCCACTTGCAGATTCTACAAGAATCGTGTTTCCAAACTGCTCTGTCAAACGAAATGTTCAACTCTGTGAGTTGAGGACATACATCACAAACAAGTTTCTGCGAATGCTTCTGTCTAGTTTGCATGGGAAGATATTTCCTTGTTCACCATAGGCCTGAAAGCGCTCGAAATGTCCACTTCCAGATACTGCAGAAAGAGGGTTTGAAACCTGCTCTATGAAAGGGAACGTTCAACTCTGTGACTTGAACGCAAACATCATAAAGAAGCTTCTGAGAATGCTGCTGTCTACTTTGTATATGTAATCCCGTTTCCAACGTAACCCTCAAAGCTATCCAAATATCCTCCCGCAGATTCCACGAAAAGACGCTTTCAAGCCTGCCCTTAGAAAGGGAATATTCAACTCTCTGATATCAATGCAGATATCACAAAGTAGTTTCTGAGAGTGCTTCTGCCTAGGTTTTATATGAAGATATTCCCGTTTCCAACGAAATAGTTAGGGCTATCCATGTATCAACTTGCAAATTCTATAAAAAGAGTGTTTCCAAACTGCTGTATCATAAGAAAGGTTGAACTCTGTTAGTTGAGGACACACATCACAAAGACGTTTTTGAGAATGTTTCTGTCTAGTTTTTATGTTAAGATATTTCCTTTTTCAACATAGGCCTGAAATCGATCGAAATGTCCACTTCCAGATACTACAGAAAGAGTGTTTCAAACCTGCTCTATTGAAGGGAATATTCAACTCTGTGACTTCAAAGCAAACATCACAAAGAATCTCCCGAGAATGCTGCTGTCTACTTTCTTTATGTATTCCCGTCTCCAACGAAATCCTCAGAGCTATCCGAATATCCATTTGCAGTTTCCACATAAAGAGCTTTCCAAAACTGATCTATAAAGAGAAAGGTTCAACTCTGTTAGTTGAGTACATATATCCCAAAAATGTTTCTTAGAATGCTTCTGTCTAGTTTTGATGGGAAGACATTTCCTTTTTCATCAAAGGCGTCAAAGTGCTCCAAATGTCCACTTCCAGATATGACAGAAAGAGTGTTTCAAACCTGCTTTAGGAAGGGAAATTTTCAACTCTGTGGCTTGAATGCAGATATCACAAAGCAGTTTCTGAGAGTGCCACTGTCTAGATTTTATATGAAGGTATTCCCGTTTCCAACGAAATCGTTAGAGCTATCCAAATATCCACTTGCAGATTCTATAAAAAGAGTGTTTCCAACGTGCTGTATCAAAAGATAGGTTGTACACTGTTAGTTGAGGACACACATTACAAAGAAGTTTCTGAGAATGCCTCTGTCTAGATTCTACCTGGAGATATTCCGGTTTCCAATGATATCCTTAAAGCTCTCCATATATCCACTAGCAGACACTCCAAAAGAGTCTTTCAAAACGGCTCTGTGAATAGAAATGTTCAACTCAGTTAGTTGAAGACATACGTCACAAAGCAGTTTGTGAGAATGCTTCTGTCCAGTTTTTATGGGACGATATGTTCTTTTTCACCATAAGCGTCCAAGCGCTCCAAGTGCCCACATCCAGATACTACAGAAAGTGTGTTTCAAACCTGCACTATGAAAGGGAATGTTCAACTCTGTGACGTGAATGCAGATATCACAAAGCAGTTTCTGAGCATGTTACTGTCTAGGTTGTCTATGAAGATACTCCCGTTTCCAACGAAATCCACAAAGCCATCCAAATATCCACTTGAAGATTCTACGAAAATCGTGTTTCTGAACTGCTCTTTCAAACGAAATGTTCAACTCCGTGAGTTGAGGACACACATCAGAAACAAGTTTCTGCGAATGCTTCTGTCTAGTTTGCATGGGAAGATATTTCCTTGTTCACCATAGGCCTGAAAGCGCTCGAAATGTCCAATTCCAGATACTGCAGAAAGAGGGTTTGAAACCTGCTCTATGAAAGGGAACGTTCAACTCTGTGACTTAAACGCAAACATCATAAAGAAGCTTCTGAGAATGCTGCTGTCTACTTTGTATATGTAATCCCGTTTCCAACGTAACCCTCCAAGCTATCCAAATATCCTCCTGCAGATTCCACGAAAAGACGCTTTCAAGCCTGCCCTTAGAAAGGGAATATTCAACTCTCTGATATCAATGCAGATATCACAAAGTAGTTTGGTGAGAGTGCTTCTGTCTAGGTTTTATATGAAGATATTCCCGTTTCCAACGAAATAGTTAGGGCTATCCATGTATCAACTTGCAAATTCTATAAAAAGAGTGTTTCCAAACTGCTGTATCATAAGAAAGGTTGAACTCTGTTAGTTGAGGACACACATCACAAAGACGTTTCTGAGAATGCTTCTGTCTAGTTTTTATGTTAAGGTATTTCCTTTTTCAACATAGGCCTGAAATCGATCGAAATGTCCACTTCCAGATACTACAGAAAGAGTGTTTCAAACCTGCTCTATTGAAGGGAATATTCAACTCTGTGACTTAAAAGCAAACATCACAAAGAATCTCCTGAGATTGCTGCTGTCTACTTTCTTTATGTATTCCCGTCTCCAACGAAATCCTCAGAGCTATCCGAATATCCATCTGCAGATTCCACATAAAGAGCTTTCCAAAACTGATCTATAAAGAGAAAGGTTCAACTCTGTTAGTTGAGTACATATATCCCAAAAATGTTTCTTAGAATGCTTCTGTCTAGTTTTCATGGGAAGACATTTCCTTTTTCACCAAAGGCGTCAAAGTGCTCCAAATGTCCACTTCCAGATACGACAAAAAGGGTGTTTCAAACCTGCTTTAGGAAGGGAAATGTTCAACTCTGTGGCTTGAATGCAGATATCACAAAGCAGTTTCTGAGAGTGCCACTGTCTAGATTTTATATGAAGGTATTCCCGTTTCCAACGAAATCGTTAGAGCTATCCAACTATCCACTTGCAGATTCTATAAAAGGAGTGTTTCCAACGTGCTGTATCAAAAGATAGGTTGTACACTGTTAGTTGAGGACACACATTACGAAGAAGTTTCTGAGAATGCCTCTGTCTAGATTTTACCTGAAGATATTCCGGTTTCCAGTGAAATCCTTAAAGCTCTCCACATATCCACTAGCAGATACTCCAAAAGAGTCTTTCAAAACTGCTCTGTGAATAGAAATTCTCAACTCTGTTAGCTGACGACATACGTCACAAAGCAGTTTGTGAGAATGCTTCTGTCCAGTTTTTATGGGACGATCTGTCCTTTTTCACCATAAGCGTCCAAGCGCTCCAAGTGCCCACATCCAGATACTACAGAAAGTGTGTTTCAAACCTGCTCTATGAAAGGGAATGTTCAACTCTGTGACGTGAATGCAGATATCACAAAGCAGTTTCTGAGCATGTTTCTGTGTAGATTTTACATGAAAATATTCCCGTTTGCAACCAAATCCTTAAAGCCATCCAAATATCCACTTGCAGATTCTGCAGAAAGAGTGTTTCAAAACTTTTGTATCAAAAGAATTGTTGAACTCTGTTATTTGAGGACACACATCACAAACAAGTTTCTGACAATGCTTCAATCTAGTTTTTATGGGAAGATATTTCCTTTTTCACCATAGGCCTGAAAGCTTTCAAAATATCCACTTCCAGATACTACAGTAAGAGTGTTACAAACCTGCTCTATGAAAGGGAAAGTTCAACTCTGTGACTTAAAAGCAAACATCACAAAGAAGTTTGTGAGAATGCTGCTGTCTACTTTGTATATGTAATCCCGTTTCCAACGTATCCCTCAAAGCTATCCAAATATCCTCCTGCAGATTCCACGAAAAGACGCTTTCAAGCCTGCCCTTAGAAAGGGAATATTCAACTCTCTGATATCAATGCAGATATCACAAAGCAGTTTCTGAGAGTGCTTCTGCCTAGGTTTTATATGAAGATATTCCCGTTTCCAACGAAATAGTTAGGGCTATCCATGTATCAACTTGCAAATTCTATAAAAAGAGTGTTTCCAAACTGCTGTATCATAAGAAAGGTTGAAATCTGTTAGTTGAGGACACACATCACAAAGACGTTTCTGAGAATGCTTCTGTCTCGTTTTTATGGGAAGATATTTCCTTTTTCAACATAGGCCTGAAAACGCTCGAAATGTCCACTTCCAGGTACTACAGAAAGAGCGTTTCAAACCTGATTTATGGAAGAGAATATTCAACTCTGTGACTTAAAAGCAAACATCACAAAGAATCTCCTGAGAATGCTGCTGTCTACTTTCTTTATGTATTCCCGTCTCCAACGAAATCCTCAGAGCTATCCGAATATCCATCTGCAGATTCCACATAAAGAGCTTTCCAAAACTGATCTATAAAGAGAAAGGTTCAACTCTGTTAGTTGAGTACATATATCCCAAAAATGTTTCTTAGAATGCTTCTGTCTAGTTTTCATGGGAAGACATTTCCTTTTTCACCAAAGGCGCCAAAGTGCTCCAAAAGTCCACT
This sequence comes from Homo sapiens, assembly GCF_000001405.40. Classification (NCBI taxonomy): domain Eukaryota; kingdom Metazoa; phylum Chordata; class Mammalia; order Primates; family Hominidae; genus Homo; species Homo sapiens. The sequence continues at coordinate 15,691,479 of NC_000018.10, read as the reverse complement.
TCCAGATACGACAAAAAGAGTGTTTCAAACCTGCTTTAGGAAGGGAAATGTTCAACTCTGTGGCTTGAATGCAGATATCACAAAGCAGTTTCTGAGAGTGCCACTGTCTAGATTTTATATGAAGGGATTCCCGTTTCCAACGAAATCGTTAGAGCTATCCAAATGTCCACTTGCAGATTCTATAAAAAGAGTGTTTCCAACGTGCTGTATCAAAAGATAGGTTGTACACTGTTAGTTGAGGACACACATTACAAAGAAGTTTCTGAGAATGCCTCTGTCTAGATTTTACCTGAAGATATTCCGGTTTCCAAAGAAATCCTTAAAGCTCTCCAAATATCCACTAGCAGATACTCCAAAAGAGTCTTTCAAAACTGCTCTGTGAATAGAAATGTTCAACTCTGTTAGTTGAAGACATACGTCACAAAGCAGTTTGTGAGAATGCTTCTGTCCAGTTTTTATGGGACGATATGTCCTTTTTCACCATAAGCGTCCAAGCGCTCCAAGTGCCCACATCCAGATACTACAGAAAGTGTGTTTCAAACCTGCTCTATGAAAGGGAATGTTCAACTCTGTGACGTGAATGCAGATATCACAAAGCAGTTTCTGAGAATGTTTCTGTCTAGGTTTTCTATGAAGATACTCCCGTTTCCAACGAAATCCACAAAGCCATCCAAATATCCACTTGCAGATTCTACAAAAATCGTGTTTCCAAACTGCTCTGTCAAACGAAATGTTCAACTCTGTGAGTTGAGGACACACATCACAAACAAGTTTCTGCGAATGCTTCTGTCTAGTTTGCATGGGAAGATATTTCCTTGTTCACCATAGGCCTGAAAGCGCTCGAAATGTCCACTTCCAGATACTGCAGAAAGAGGGTTTCAAACCTGCTCTATGAAAGGGAACGTTCAACTGTGTGACTTGAACGCAAACATCATAAAGGAGCTTCTGAGAATGCTGCTGTCTGCTTTGTACATGTAATCCCGTTTCCAACGTAACACTCAAAGCTATCCAAATATCCTCCTGCAGATTCCAAAAAAAGACGCTTTCATGCCTGCCCTTAGAAAGGGAATATTCAACTCTCTGATATCAATGCAGATATCACAAAGTAGTTTCTGAGAGTGCTTCTGCCTAGGTTTTATATGAAGATATTCCCGTTTCCAACGAAATAGTTAGGGCTATCCATGTATCAACTTGCAAATTCTATAAAAAGAGTGTTTCCAAACTGCTGTATCATAAGAAAGGTTGAACTCTGTTAGTTGAGGACACACATCACAAAGACGTTTCTGAGAATGCTTCTTTCTAGTTTTGATGTTAAGGTATTTCCTTTTTCAACATAGGCCTGAAATCGATCGAAATGTCCACTTCCAGATACTACAGAAAGAGTGTTTCAAACCTGCTCTATTGAAGGGAATATTCAACTCTGTGACTTAAAAGCAAACATCACAAAGAATCTCCTGAGAATGCTGCTGTCTACTTTCTTTATGTATTCCCGTCTCCAACGAAATCCTCAGAGCTATCCGAATATCCATCTGCAGATTCCACATAAAGAGCTTTCCAAAACTGATCTATAAAGAGAAAGGTTCAACTCTGTTAGTTGAGTACATATATCCCAAAAATGTTTCTTAGAATGCTTCTGTCTAGTTTTGATGGGAAGACATTTCCTTTTTCACCAAAGGCGTCAAAGTGCTCCAAATGTCCACTTCCAGATACGACAGAAAGAGTGTTTCAAACCTGCTTTAGGAAGGGAAATGTTCAACTCTGTGGCTTGAATGCAGATGTCACAAAGCAGTTTCTGAGAGTGCCACTGTCTAGATTTTATATGAAGGTATTCCCGTTTCCAACGAAATCGTTAGAGCTATCCAAATATCCACTTGCAGATTCTATAAAAAGAGTGTTTCCAACGTGCTGTATCAAAAGATAGGTTGTACACTGTTAGTTGAGGACACACATTACAAAGAAGTTTCTGAGAATGCCTCTGTCTAGATTTTACCTGAAGATATTCCGGTTTCCGGTGAAATCCTTAAAGCTCTCCAAATATCCACTAGCAGATACTCCAAAAGAGTCTTTCAAAACTGCTCTGTGAATAGAAATGTTCAACTCTGTTAGCTGACGACATACGTCTCAAAGCAGTTTGTGAGAATGCTTCTGTCTAGTTTTTATGGGACGATATTTCCTTTTTCACCATAAGCGTCCAAGAGCTCCAAGTGCCCACATCCAGATACTACAGAAAGGGTGTTTCAAACCTGCTCTATGAAAGGGAATGTTCAACTCTGTGACGTGAATGCGGATATCACAAAGCCGTTTCTGAGAATGTTACTGTCTAGGTTTTCTATGAAGATACTCCCGTTTCCAACGAAATCCACAAAGCCATCCAAATATCCACTTGCAGATTCTACAAAAATCGTGTTTCCAAACTGCTCTGTCAAACGAAATGTTCAACTCTGTGAGTTGAGGACACACATCACAAACAAGTTTCTGCGAATGCTTCTGTCTAGTTTGCATGGGAAGATATTTCCTTGTTCACCATAGGCCTGAAAGCGCTCGAAATGTCCACTTCCAGATACTGCAGAAAGAGGGTTTGAAACCTGCTCTATGAAAGGGAACGTTCAATTCTGTGACTTGAACGCAAACATCATAAAGAAGCTTCTGAGAATGCTGCTGTCTGCTTTGTACATGTAATCCCGTTTCCAACGTAACCCTCAAAGCTATCCAAATATCCTCCTGCAGATTCCACGAAAAGACGCTTTCAAGCCTGCCCTTAGAAAGGGAATATTCAACTCTCTGATATCAATGCAGATATCACAAAGTAGTTTCTGAGAGTGCTTCTGCCTAGGTTTTATATGAAGATATTCCCGTTTCCAACGAAATAGTTAGGGCTATCCATGTATCAACTTGCAAATTCTATAAAAAGAGTGTTTCCAAACTGCTGTATCATAAGAAATGTTGAACTCTGTTAGTTGAGGACACACATCACAAAGACGTTTCTGAGAATGCTTCTGTCTAGTTTTTATGTTACGATATTTCCTTTTTCAACATAGGTCTGAAATCGATCGAAATGTCCACTTCCAGATACTACAGAAAGAGTGTTTCAAACCTGCTCTATTGAAGGGAATATTCAACTCTGTGACTTCAAAGCAAACATCACAAAGAATCTCCCGAGAATACTGCTGTCTACTTTCTTTATGTATTCCCGTCTCCAAAGAAATCCTCAGAGCTATCCGAATATCCATCTGCAGATTCCACATAAAGAGCTTTCCAAAACTGATCTGTAAAGAGAAAGGTTCAACTCTGTTAGTTGAGTACATATATCCCAAAAATGTTTCTTAGAATGCTTCTGTCTAGTTTTGATGGGAAGACATTTCCTTTTTCACCAAAGGCGTCAAAGTGCTCCAAATGTCCACTTCCAGATACGACAGAAAGAGTGTTTCAAACCTGCTTTAGGAAGGGAAATGTTCAACTCTGTGGTTTGAATGCAGATATCACAAAGCAGTTTCTGCGAGTGCCACTGTCTAGATTTTATTTGAAGGTATTCCCGTTTCCAACGAAATCTTTAGAGCTATCCAACTATCCACTTGCAGATTCTATAAAAAGAGTGTTTCCAACGTGCTGTATCAAAAGATAGGTTGTACACTGTTAGTTGAGGACACACATTACGAAGAAGTTTCTGAGAATGCCTCTGTCTAGATTTTACCTGAAGATATTCCGGTTTCCAATGAAATCCTTAAAGCTCTCCAAATATCCACTAGCAGATACTCCAAAGGAGTCTTTCAAAACTGCTCTGTGAATAGAAATGTTCAACTCTGTTAGTTGAAGACATACGTCACAAAGCAGTTTGTGAGAATGCTTCTGTCTAGGTTTTATGGGACGATATTTCCTTTTTCACCATAAGCGTCCAAGAGCTCCAAGTGCCCACATCCAGATACTTCAGAAAGGGTGTTTCAAACCTGCTCTATGAAAGGGAATGTTCAACTCTGTGACGTGAATGCGGATATCACAAAGCCGTTTCCTGAGAATGTTACTGTCTAGGTTGTCTGTGAAGATACTCCCGTTTCCAACGAAATCCACAAAGCCATCCAAATATCCACTTGCAGATTCTACAAAAATCGTGTTTCCAAACTGCTCTGTCAAACGAAATGTTCAACTCCCTGAGTTGAGGACACACATCACAAACAAGTTTCTGCGAATGCTTCTGTCTAGTTTGCATGGGAAGATATTTCCTTGTTCACCATAGGCCTGAAAGCGCTCGAAATGTCCACTTCCAGATACTGCAGAAAGAGGGTTTGAAACCTGCTCTATGAAAGGGAACGTTCAACTCTGTGACTTGAACGCAAACATCATAAAGAAGCTTCTGAGAATGCTTGCTGTCTGCTTTGTACATGTAATCCCGTTTCCAACGTAACACTCAAAGCTATCCAAATATCCTCCTGCAGATTCCAAAAAAAGACGCTTTCAAGCCTGCCCTTAGAAAGGGAATATTCAACTCTCTGATATCAATGCAGATATCACAAAGTAGTTTCTGAGAGTGCTTCTGCCTAGGTTTTATATGAAGATATTCCCGTTTCCAACGAAATAGTTAGGGCTATCCATGTATCAACTTGCAAATTCTATAAAAAGAGTGTTTCCAAACTGCTGTATCATAAGAAAGGTTGAACCCTGTTAGTTGAGGACACACATCACAAAGACGTTTCTGAGAATGCTTCTGTCTAGTTTTTATGTTACGATATTTCCTTTTTCAACATAGGCCTGAAATCGATCGAAATGTCCACTTCCAGATACTACAGAAAGAGTGTTTCAAACCTGCTCTATTGAAGGGAATATTCAACTCTCTGACTTAAAAGCAAACATCACAAAGAATCTCCCGAGAATGCTGCAGTCTACTTTCTTTATGTATTCCCGTCTCCAGCGAAATCCTCAGAGCTATCCGAATATCCACTTGCAGATTCCACGTAAAGAGCTTTCCTAAACTGATCTATAAAGAGGAAGGTTCAACTCTGTTAGTTGAGTACATATATCCCAAAAATGTTTCTTAGAATGCTTCTGTCTAGTTTTGACGGGAGGACATTTCCTTTTTCACCAAAAGCGTCAAAGTGCTCCAAATGTCCACTTCCAGATACGACAAAACGAGTGTTTCAAACCTGCTTTAGGAAGGGAAATGTTCAACTCTGTGGCTTGAATGCAGATATCACAAAGCAGTTTCTGAGAGTGCCACTGTCTAGATTTTATATGAAGGTATTCCCGTTTCCAACGAAATCGTTAGAGCTATCCAAATATCCACTTGCAGATTCTATAAAAAGAGTGTTTCCAACGTGCTGTATCAAAAGATAGGTTGTACACTGTTAGTTGAGGACAAACATTACAAAGAAGTTTCTGAGAATGCCTCTGTCTAGATTTTACCTGAAGATATTCCGGTTTCCAGTGAAATCCTTAAAGCTCTCCACATATCCACTAGCAGATACTCCAAAAGAGTCTTTCAAAACTGCTCTGTGAATAGAAATGCTCAACTCTGTTAGCTGACGACATACGTCACAAAGCAGTTTCTGAGAATGTTTCTGTCCAGTTTTTATGGAACGATATGTCCTTTTTCACCATAAGCGTCCAAGCGCTCCAAGTGCCCACATCCAGATACTACAGAAAGTGTGTTTCAAACCTGCTTTATGAAAGGGAATGTTCAACTCTGTGACATGAATGCAGATATCACAAAGCAGTTTCTGAGCATGTTACTGTCTAGGTTGTCTATGAAGATACTCCCGTTTCCAACGAAATCCACAAAGCCATCCAAATATCCACTTGCAGATTCTACAAAAATCGTGTTTCCAAACTGCTCTGTCAAACGAAATGTTCAACTCTGTGAGTTGAGGACACACATCACAAACAAGTTTCTGCGAATGCTTCTGTCTAGTTTGCATGGGAAGATATTTCCTTGTTCACCACGGGCCTGAAAGCGCTCGAAATGTCCACTTCCAGATACTGCAGAAAGAGGGTTTGAAACCTGCTCTATGAAAGGGAACGTTCAACTCTGTGACTTAAACGCAAACATCACAAAGAAGCTTCTGAGAATGCTGCTGTCTACTTTGTATATGTAATCCCGTTTCCAACGTAACCCTCCAAGCTATCCAAATATCCTCCTGCAGATTCCACAAAAAGACGCTTTCAAGCCTGCCCTTAGAAAGGGAATATTCAACTCTCTGATATCAATGCAGATATCACAAAGTAGTTTCTGAGAGTGCTTCTGCCTAGGTTTTATATGAAGATATTCCCGTTTCCAACGAAATAGTTAGGGCTATCCATGTATCAACTTGCAAATTCTATAAAAAGAGTGTTTCCAAACTGCTGTATCATAAGAAAGGTTGAACTCTGTTAGTTGAGGACACACATCACAAAGACGTTTCTGAGAATGCTTCTGTCTAGTTTTTATGTTAAGGTATTTTCTTTTTCAACATAGGCCTGAAATCGATTGAAATGTCCACTTCCAGATACTACAGAAAGAGTGTTTCAAACCTGCTCTATTGAAGGGAATATTCAACTCTGTGACTTAAAAGCAAACATCACAAAGAATCTCCTGAGAATGCTGCTGTCTACTTTCTTTATGTATTCCCGTCTCCAACGAAATCCTCAGAGCTATCCGAATATCCATCTGCAGATTCCACATAAAGAGCTTTCCAAAACTGATCTATAAAGAGAAAGGTTCAACTCTGTTAGTTGAGTACATATATCCCAAAAATGTTTCTTAGAATGCTTCTGTCTAGTTTTCATGGGAAGACATTTCCTTTTTCACCACAGGCGTGCATGTGCTCCAAATGTCCACTTCCAGATACGACAAAAAGAGTGTTTCAAACCTGCTCTATGAAAGGGAATGTTCAACTCTGTGACGTGAATGCAGATATTACAAAGCAGTTTCTGAGCATGTTACTGTCTAGATTTTATATGAAGGTATTCCCGTTTCCAACGAAATCGTTAGAGCTATCCAACTATCCACTTGCAGATTCTATAAAAAGAGTGTTTCCAACGTGCTGTATCAAAAGATAGGTTGTACACTGTTAGTTGAGGACACTCATTACGAAGAAGTTTCTGAGAATGCCTCTGTCTAGATTTTACCTGAAGATATTCCGGTTTCCAATGAAATCCTTAAAGCTCTCCAAATATCCACTAGCAGATACTCCAAAAGAGTCCTTCAAAACTGCTCTGTGAATAGAAATGTTCAACTCTGTTAGTTGAAGACATACGTCACAAAGCAGTTTGTGAGAATGATTCTGTCCAGTTTTTATGGGACGATATGTCCTTTTTCACCATAAGCGTCCAAGCGCTCCAAGTGCCCACATCCAGATACTACAGAAAGTGTGTTTCAAACCTGCTCTATGAAAGGGAATGTTCAACTCTGTGACGTGAATGCAGATATCACAAAGCAGTTTCTGAGCATGTTACTGTCTAGGTTGTCTATGAAGATACTCCCGTTTCCAACGAAATCCACAAAGCCATCCAAATATCCACTTGCAGATTCTACAAAAATCGTGTTTCCAAACTGCTCTGTCAAACGAAATGTTCAACTCCGTGAGTTGAGGACACACATCACAAACAAGTTTCTGCGAATGCTTCTGTCTAGTTTGCATGGGAAGATATTTCCTTGTTCACCATAGGCCTGAAAGCGCTCGAAATGTCCACTTCCAGATACTGCAGAAAGAGGGTTTGAAACCTGCTCTATGAAAGGGAACGTTCAACTGTGTGACTTGAACGCAAACATCATAAAGAAGCTTCTGAGAATGCTGCTGTCTACTTTGTACATGTAATCCCGTTTCCAACGTAACCCTCAAAGCTATCCAAATATCCTCCTGCAGATTCCACGAAAAGACGCTTTCAAGCCTGCCCTTAGAAAGGGAATATTCAACTCTCTGATATCAATGCAGATATCACAAAGTAGTTTCTGAGAGTGCTTCTGTCTAGGTTTTATGTGAAGATATTCCCGTTTCCAACGAAATAGTTAGGGCTATCCATGTATCAGCTTGCAAATTCTATAAAAAGAGTGTTTCCCAACTGCTGTATCATAAGAAAGGTTGAATTCTGTTAGTTGAGGACACACATCACAAAGACGTTTCTGAGAATGCTTCTGTCTAGTTTTTATGTAGAGATATTTCCTTTTTCAACATAGGCCTGAAATCGATCGAAATGGCCACTTCCAGATACTACAGAAAGAGTGTTTCAAACCTGCTCTATTGAAGGGAATATTCAACTCTGTGACTTCAAAGCAAACATCACAAAGAATCTCCCGAGAATGCTGCTGTCTACTTTCTTTATGTATTCCCGTCTCCAACGAAATCCTCAGAGCTATCCGAATATCCATCTGCAGATTCCACATAAAGAGCTTTCCAAAACTGATCTATAAAGAGAAAGGTTCAACTCTGTTAGTTGAGTACATATATCCCAAAAATGTTTCTTAGAATGCTTCTGTCTAGTTTTGATGGGAAGACATTTCCTTTTTCACAAAAGGCGTCAAAGTGCTCCAAATGTCCACTTCCAGATACGACAGAAAGAGTGTTTCAAACCTGCTTTAGGAAGGGAAATGTTCAACTCTGTGGCTTGAATGCAGATATCACAAAGCAGTTTCTGAGAGTGCCACTGTCTAGATTTTATAGGAAGGTATTCCCGTTTCCAACGAAATCGTTGGAGCTATCCAACTATCCACTTGCAGATTCTATAAAAAGAGTGTTTCCAACGTGCTGTATCAAAAGATAGGTTGTACACTGTTAGTTGAGGACACACATTACAGAGAAGTTTCTGAGAATGCCTCTGTCTAGATTTTACCTGAAGATATTCCGGTTTCCAATGAAATCCTTAAAGCTCTCCAAATATCCACTAGCAGATACTCCAAAGGAGTCTTTCAAAACTGCTCTGTGAATAGAAATGTTCAACTCTGTTAGTTGAAGACATACGTCCCAAAGCAGTTTGTGAGAATGCTTCTGTCTAGTTTTTATGGGACGATATTTCCTTTTTCACCATAAGCGTCCAAGCACTCCAAGTGCCCACATCCAGATACTACAGAAAGTGTGTTTCAAGCCTGCTCTATGAGAGGGAAAGTTCAACTCTGTGACGTGAATGCGGATATTACAAAGCCATTTCTGAGAATGTTACTGTCTAGGTTTTCTATGAAGATACTCCCGTTTCCAACGAAATCCACAAAGCCATCCAAATATCCACTTGCAGATTCTACAAAAATCGTGTTTCCAAACTGCTCTGTCAAACGAAATGTTCAACTCTGTGAGTTGAGGACACACATCACAAACAAGTTTCTGCGAATGCTTCTGTCTAGTTTGCATGGGAAGATATTTCCTTGTTCACCATGGGCCTGAAAGCGCTCGAAATGTCCACTTCCAGATACTGCAGAAAGAGGGTTTGAAACCTGCTCTATGAAAGGGAACGTTCAACTCTGTGACTTAAACGCAAACATCATAAAGAAGCTTCTGAGAATGCTGCTGTCTGCTTTGTACATGTAATCCCGTTTCCAACGTAACCCTCAAAGCTATCCAAATATCCTCCTGCAGATTCCATGAAAAGACGCTTTCAAGCCTGCCCTTAGAAAGGGAATATTCAACTCTCTGATATCAATGCAGATTTCACAAAGTAGTTTACTGAGAGTGCTTCTGCCTAGGTTTTATATGAAGATATTCCCGTTTCCAACGAAATAGTTAGGGCTATCCATGTATCATCTTGCAAATTCTATAAAAAGAGTGTTTCCAAACTGCTGTATCATAAGAAAGGTTGAACTCTGTTAGTTGAGGACACACATCACAAAGACGTTTCTGAGAATGCTTCTGTCTAGTTTTTATGTTAAGATATTTCCTTTTTCAACATAGGCCTGAAATCGATCGAAATGTCCACTTCCAGATACTACGGAAAGAGTGTTTCAAACCTGCTCTATTGAAGGGAATAGTCAACTCTGTGACTTCAAAGCAAACATCACAAAGAATCTCCCGAGAATGCTGCTGTCTACTTTCTTTATGTATTCCCGTCTCCAGCGAAATCCTCAGAGCTATCCGAATATCCACTTGCAGATTCCACGTAAAGAGCTTTCCAAAACTGATCTATAAAGAGGAAGGTTCAACTCTGTTAGTTGAGTACATATATCCCAAAAATGTTTCTTAGAATGCTTCTGTCTAGTTTTGATGGGAAGACATTTCCTTTTTCACCAAAGGCGTCAAAGTGCTCCAAATGTCCACTTCCAGATACGACAAAAAGAGTGTTTCAAACCTGCTTTAGGAAGGGAAATGTTCAACTCTGTGGCTTGAATGCAGATATCACAAAGCAGTTTCTGAGAGTGCCACTGTCTAGATTTTATATGAAGGTATTCCCGTTTCCAATGAAATCGTTAGAGCTATCCAACTATCCACTTGCAGATTCTATAAAAAGAGTGTTTCCAACGTGCTGTATCAAAAGATAGGTTGTACACTGTTAGTTGAGGACACACATGACGAAGAAGTTTCTGAGAATGCCTCTGTCTAGATTTTACCTGAAGATATTCCGGTTTCCAATGAAATCCTTAAAGCTCTCCAAATATCCACTAGCAGATACTCCAAAAGAGTCTTTCAAAACTGCTCTGTAAATAGAAATGTTCAACTCTGTTAGTTGAAGACATACGTCACAAAGCAGTTTGTGAGAATGCTTCTGTCCAGTTTTTATGGGACGATATGTCCTTTTTCACCGTAAGTGTCCAAGCGCTCCTAGTGCCCACATCCAGATGCTACAGAAAGTGTGTTTCAAACCTGCTCTATGAAAGGGAATGTTCAACTCTGTGACGTGAATGCAGATATCACAAAGCAGTTTCTGAGCATGTTACTGTCTAGGTTGTCTATGAAGATACTCCCGTTTCCAACGAAATCCACAAAGCCATCCAAATATCCACTTGCAGATCCTACAAAAATCGTGTTTCCAAACTGCTCTGTCAAACGAAATGCTCAACTCTGTGAGTTGAGGACACACATCACAAACAAGTTTCTGCAAATGCTTCTGTGCTAGTTTGCATGGGAAGATATTTCCTTGTTCACCATGGGCCTGAAAGCGCTCGAAATGTCCACTTCCAGATACTGCAGAAAGAGGGTTTGAAACCTGCTCTATGAAAGGGAACGTTCAACTCTGTGACTTAAACGCAAACATCACAAAGAAGCTTCTGAGAATGCTGCTGTCTACTTTGTATATGTAATCCCGTTTCCAACGTAACCCTCAAAGCTATCCAAATATTCTCCTGCAGATTCCACGAAAAGACGCTTTCAAGCCTGCCCTTAGAAAGGGAATATTCAACTCTCTGATATCAATGCAGATATCACAAAGTAGTTTCTGAGAGTGCTTCTGTCTAGGTTTTATGTGAAGATATTCCCGTTTCCAACGAAATAGTTAGGGCTATCCATGTATCAACTTGCAAATTCTATAAAAAGAGTGTTTCCCAACTGCTGTATCATAAGAAAGGTTGAACTCTGTTAGTTGAGGACACACATCACAAAGACGTTTCTGAGAATGCTTCTGTCTAGTTTTGATGTTAAGGTATTTCCTTTTTCAACATAGGCCTGAAATCGATCGAAATGTCCACTTCCAGATACTACAGAAAGAGTGTTTCAAACCTGCTCTATTGAAGGGAATATTCAACTCTGTGACTTAAAAGCAAACATCACAAAGGAATCTCCTGAGAATGCTGCTGTCTACTTTCTTTATGTATTCCCGTCTCCAACGAAATCCTCAGAGCTATCCGAATATCCATCTGCAGATTCCACATAAAGAGCTTTCCAAAACTGATCTATAAAGAGAAAGGTTCAACTCTGTTAGTTGAGTACATATATCCCAAAAATGTTTCTTAGAATGCTTCTGTCTACTTTTGATGGGAAGACATTTCCTTTTTCACCAAAGGCGTCAAAGTGCTCCAAATGTCCACTTCCAGATACGACAGAAAGAGTGTTTCAAACCTGCTTTAGGAAGGGAAATGTTCAACTCTGTGGCTTGAATGCAGATATCACAAAGCAGTTTCTGCGAGTGCCACTTTCTAGCTTTTATATGAAGGTATTCCCGTTTCCAACGAAGTCGTTAGAGCTATCCAACTATCCACTTGCAGATTCGATAAAAAGAGTGTTTCCAACGTGCTGTATCCAAAGATAGGTTGTACACTGTTAGTTGAGGACACACATTATGAAGAAGTTTCTGAGAATGCCTCTGTCTAGATTTTACCTGAAGATATTCCGGTTTCCAATGAAATCCTTAAAGCTCTCCAAATATCCACTAGCAGACACTCCAAAAGACACTTTCAAAACGGCTCTGTGAATAGAAATGTTCAACTCTGTTAGTTGAAGACATACGTCACAAAGCAGTTTGTGAGAATGCTTCTGTCCAGTTTTTATGGGACGATATGTCCTTTTTCACCATAAGCGTCCAAGCGCTCCAAGTGCCCACATCCAGATACTACAGAAAGTGTGTTTCAAACCTGCTCTATGAAAGGGAATGTTCAACTCTGTGACGTGAATGCAGATATCACAAAGCAGTTTCTGAGCATGTTACTGTCTAGGTTGTCTATGAAGATACTCCCGTTTCCAACGAAATCCACAAAGCCATCCAAATATCCACTTGAAGATTCTACAAAAATCGTGTTTCCGAACTGCTCTGTCAAACGAAATGTTCAACTCCGTGAGTTGAGGACACACATCACAAACAAGTTTCTTGCGAATGCTTCTGTCTAGTTTGCATGGGAAGATATTTCCTTGTTCACCATAGGCCTGAAAGCGCTCGAAATGTCCAATTCCAGATACTGCAGAAAGAGGGTTTGAAACCTGCTCTATGAAAGGGAACGTTCAACTCTGTGACTTAAACGCAAACATCATAAAGAAGCTTCTGAGAATGCTGCTGTCTGCTTTGTACATGTAATCCCGTTTCCAACGTAACCCTCAAAGCTATCCAAATATCCTCCTGCAGATTCCACGAAAAGACGCTTTCAAGCCTGCCCTTAGAAAGGGAATATTCAACTCTCTGATATCAATGCAGATATCACAAAGTAGTTTCTGAGAGTGCTTCTGTCTAGGTTTTATATGAAGATATTCCCGTTTCCAACGAAATAGTTAGGGCTATCCATGTATCAACTTGCAAATTCTATAAAAAGAGTGTTTCCAAACTGCTGTATCATAAGAAAGGTTGAACTCTGTTAGTTGAGGACACACATCACAACGACGTTTCTGAGAATGCTTCTGTCTAGTTTTTATGTTAAGGTATTTCCTTTCTCAACATAGGCCTGTAATCGATCGAAATGTCCACTTCCAGATACTACAGAAAGAGTGTTTCAAACCTGCTCTATTGAAGGGAATATTCAACTCTGTGACTTAAAAGCAAACATCACAAAGAATCTCCTGAGAATGCTGCTGTCTACTTTCTTTATGTATTCCCGTCTCCAGCGAAATCCTCAGATCTATCCGAATATCCACTTGCAGATTCCACGTAAAGAGCTTTCCAAAACTGATCTATAAAGAGGAAGGTTCAAATCTGTTAGTTGAGTACATATATCCCAAAAATGTTTCTTAGAATGCTTCTGTCTAGTTTTCATGGGAAGACATTTCCTTTTTCACCAAAGGCGTCAAAGTGCTCCAAATGTCCACTTCCAGATACGACAAAAAGAGTGTTTCAAACCTGCTTTAGGAAGGGAAATGTTCAACTCTGTGGCTTGAATGCAGATATCACAAAGCAGTTTCTGAGAGTGCCACTGTCTAGATTTTATATGAAGTTATTCCCGTTTCCAACGAAATCGTTAGATCTATCCAACTATCCACTTGCAGATTCTATAAAAAGAGTGTTTCCAACGTGCTGTATCAAAAGATAGGTTGTACACTGTTAGTTGAGGACACACATTACAAAGAAGTTTCTGAGAATGCCTCTGTCTAGATTTTACCTAAAGATATTCCGGTTTCCAATGAAATCCTTAAAGCTCTCCAAATATCCACTAGCAGATACTCCAAAAGAGTCTTTCAAAACGGCTCTGTGAATAGAAATGTTCAACTCTGTTAGTTGAAGACATACGTCACAAAGCATTTTGTGAGAATGCTCTGTCTAGGTTTTATGGGACGATATTTCCTTTTTCACCATAAGCGTCCAAGCGCTCCAAGTGCCCACATCCAGATACTTCAGAAAGGGTGTTTCAAACCTGCTCTATGAAAGGGAATGTTCAACTCTGTGACGTGAATGCGGATATCACAAAGCCGTTTCTGAGAGTGTTAACTGTCTAGGTTGTCTATGAAGATACTCCCTTTTCCAACGAAATCCACAAAGCCATCTAAATATCCACTTGCAGATTCTACAAAAATCGTGTTTCCAAACTGCTCTGTCAAACGAAATGTTCAACTCTGTGAGTTGAGGACACACATCACAAACAAGTTTCTGCGAATGCTTCTGTCTAGTTTGCATGGGAAGATATTTCCTTGTTCACCACGGGCCTGAAAGCACTCGAAATGTCCACTTCCAGATACTGCAGAAAGAGGGTTTGAAACCTGCTCTATGAAAGGGAACGTTCAACTCTGTGACTTAAACGCAAACATCACAAAGAAGCTTCTGAGAATGCTGCTGTCTACTTTGTATATGTAATCCCGTTTCCAACGTAATCCTCAAAGCTATCCAAATATCCTCCTGCAGATTCCACGAAAAGACGCTTTCAAACCTGCCCTTAGAAAGGGAATATTCAACTCTCTGATATCAATGCAGATATCACAAAGTAGTTTCTGAGAGTGTTTCTGCCTAGGTTTTATATGAAGATATTCCCGTTTCCAACGAAATAGTTAGGGCTATCCATGTATCAACTTGCAAATTCTATAAAAAGAGTGTTTCCAAACTGCTGTATCATAAGAAAGGTTGAACTCTGTTAGTTGAGGACACACATCACAAAGACGTTTCTGAGAATGCTTCTGTCTAGTTTTTATGTTAAGGTATTTCCTTTTTCAACATAGGCCTGAAATCGATCGAAATGTCCACTTCCAGATACTACAGAAAGAGTGTTTCAAACCTGCTCTATTGAAGGGAATATTCAACTCTGTGACTTAAAAGCAAACATCACAAAGAATCTCCTGAGAATGCTGCTGTCTAATTTCTTTATGTATTCCCGTCTCCAACGAAATCCTCAGAGCTATCCGAATATCCATCTGCAGATTCCACATAAAGAGCTTTCCAAAACTGATCTATAAAGAGAAAGGTTCAACTCTGTTAGTTGAGTACATATATCCCAAAAATGTTTCTTAGAATGCTTCTGTCTAGTTTTGATGGGAAGACATTTCCTTTTTCACCAAAGGCGTCAAAGTGCTCCAAATGTCCACTTCCAGATACGACAAAAAGAGTGTTTCAAACCTGCTTTAGGAAGGGAAATGTTCAACTCTGTGGCTTGAATGCAGATATCACAAAGCAGTTTCTGAGAGTGCCACTGTCTAGATTTTTTATGAAGGTATTCCCGTTTCCAACGAAATCGTTAGAGCTATCCAAATATCCACTTGCAGATTCTATAAAAAGAGTGTTTCCAACGTGCTGTATCAAAAGATAGGTTGTACACTGTTAGTTGAGGACACACATTACAAAGAAGTTTCTGAGAATGCCTCTGTCTAGATTTTACCTGAAGATATTCCGGTTTCCGGTGAAATCCTTAAAGCTCTCCAAATATCCACTAGCAGATACTCCAAAAGAGTCTTTCAAAACTGCTCTGTGAATAGAAATGTTCAACTCTGTTAGCTGACGACATACGTCTCAAAGCAGTTTGTGAGAATGCTTCTGTCTAGTTTTTATGGGACGATATTTCCTTTTTCACCATAAGCGTCCAAGCGCTCCAAGTGCCCACATCCAGATACTACAGAAAGGGTGTTTCAAACCTGCTCTATGAAAAGGAATGTTCAACTCTGTGACGTGAATGCGGATATCACAAAGCCGTTTCTGAGAATGTTACTGTCTAGGTTGTCAATGAAGATACTCCCGTTTCCAACGAAATCCACAAAGCCATCCAAATATCCACTTGCAGATTCTACAAATATCGTGTTTCCAAACTGCTCTGTCAAACGAAATGTTCAACTCCGTGAGTTGAGGACACACATCACAAACAAGTTTCTGCGAATGCTTCTGTCTAGTTTGCTTGGGAAGATATTTCCTTGTTCACCATAGGCCTGAAAGCGCTCGAAATGTCCACTTCCAGATACTGCAGAAAGAGGGTTTGAAACCTGCTCTATGAAAGGGAACGTTCAACTCTGTGACTTAAACGCAAACATCACAAAGAAGCTTCTGAGAATGCTGCTGTCTACTTTGTATATGTAATCCCGTTTCCAACGTAACCTTCCAAGCTATCCAAATATCCTCCTGCAGATTCCACAAAAAGACGCTTTCAAGCCTGCCCTTAGAAAGGGAATATTCAACTCTCTGATATCAATGCAGATATCACAAAGTAGTTTCTGAGAGTGCTTCTGTCTAGGTTTTATGTGAAGATATTCCCGTTTCCAACGAAATAGTTAGGGCTATCCATGTATCAACTTGCAAATTCTATAAAAAGAGTGTTTCCCAACTGCTGTATCATAAGAAAGGTTGAACTCTGTTAGTTGAGGACACACATCACAAAGACGTTTCTGAGAATGCTTCTGTCTAGTTTTTATGTTAAGATATTTCCTTTTTCAACATAGGCCTGAAATCGATCGAAATGTCCACTTCCAGATACTACGGAAAGAGCGTTTCAAACCTGCTCTATTGAAGGGAATATTCAACTCTGTGACTTCAAAGCAAACATCACAAAGAATCTCCCGAGAATGCTGCTGTCTAGTTTCTTTAAGTATTCCCGTCTCCAACGAAATCCTCAGAGCTATCCGAATATCCATCTGCAGATTCCACATAAAGAGCTTTCCAAAACTGATCTATAAAGAGAAAGGTTCAACTCTGTTAGTTGAGTACATATATCCCAAAAATGTTTCTTAGAATGCTTCTGTCTAGTTTTGATGGGAAGACATTTCCTTTTTCACCAAAGGCGTCAAAGTGCTCCAAATGTCCACTTCCAGATACGACAAAAAGAGTGTTTCAAACCTGCTTTAGGAAGGGAAATGTTCAACTCTGTGGCTTGAATGCAGATATCACAAAGCAGTTTTCTGAGAGTGCCACTGTCTAGATTTTATATGAAGGTATTCCCGTTTCCAACGAAATCGTTAGAGCTATCCAAATATCCACTTACAGATTCTATAAAAAGAGTGTTTCCAAACTGCTGTATCAAAAGACAGGTTGTACTCTGTTAGTTGAGGACACACATCACAAAGAAGTTTATGAGAATGCCTCTGTCTAGATTTCACCTGAAGATATTCCGGTTTCCAATGAAATCCTTAAAGCTCTCCAAATATCCACTTGCAGATTCTCCAAAAGAGTCTCTCAAAACTGCTCTGTAAATAGAAATGTTCAACTCTGTTAGTTGAGGACATACATCACAAACCAGTTTGTGAGAATGCTTCTGTCCAGTTTTTATGGAACGATATGTCCTTTTTCACCATAAGCGTCCAAGAGCTCCAAGTGCCCACATCCAGATACTTCAGAAAGGGTGTTTCAAACCTGCTCTATGAAAGGGAATGTTCAACTCTGTGACGTGAATGCAGATATCACAAAACAGTTTCTGAGCATGTTACTGTCTAGGTTGTCTATGAAGATACTCCCGTTTCCAACGAAATCCACAAAGCCATCCAAATATACACTTGCAGATTCTACAAAAATCGTGTTTCCAAACTGCTCTGTCAAACGAAATGTTCAACTCTGTGAGTTGAGGACACACATCACAAACAAGTTTCTGCGAATGCTTCTGTCTGGTTTGCATAGGAAGATATTTCCTTGTTCACCATAAGCCTGAAAGCGCTCGAAATGTCCACTTCCAGATACTGCAGAAAGAGGGTTTGAAACCTGCTCTATGAAAGGGAACGTTCAACTCTGTGACTTAAACGCAAACATCACAAAGAAGCTTCTGAGAATGCTGCTGTCTGCTTTGTACATGTAATCCCGTTTCCAACGTAACCCTCAAAGCTATCCAAATATCCTCCTGCAGATTCCACGAAAGGACGCTTTCAAGCCTGCCCTTAGAAAGGGAATATTCAACTCTCTGATATCAATGCAGATATCAAAAAGTAGTTTCTGAGAGTGCTTCTGCCTAGGTTTTATATGAAGATATTCCCGTTTCCAACGAAATAGTTAGGGCTATCCATGTATCAACTTGCAAATTCTATAAAAAGAGTGTTTCCAAACTGCTGTATCATAAGAAAGGTTGAACTCTGTTAGTTGAGGACACACATCACAAAGACGTTTCTGAGAATGCTTCTGTCTAGTTTTTATGTTACGATATTTCCTTTTTCAACATAGGCCTGAAATCGATCGAAATGTCCACTTCCAGATACTACAGAAAGAGTGTTTCAAACCTGCTCTATTGAAGGGAATATTCAACTCTGTGACTTAAAAGCAAACATCACAAAGAATCTCCCGAGAATGCTGCTGTCTACTTTCTTTATGTATTCCCGTCTCCAACGAAATCCTCAGAGCTATCCGAATATCCATCTGCAGATTCCACATAAAGAGCTTTCCAAAACTGATCTATAAAGAGAAAGGTTCAACTCTGTTAGTTGAGTACATATATCCCAAAAATGTTTCTTAGAAAGCTTCTGTCTAGTTTTGATGGGAAGACATTTCCTTTTTCACCAAAGGCGTCAAAGTGCTCCAAATGTCCACTTCCAGATACGACAGAAAGAGTGTTTCAAACCTGCTTTAGGAAGGGAAATGTTCAACTCTGTGGCTTGAATGCAGATATCACAAAGCAGTTTCTGCGAGTGCCACTGTCTAGATTTTATAGGAAGGTATTCCCGTTTCCAACGAAATCGTTGGAGCTATCCAACTATCCACTTGCAGATTCTATAAAAAGAGTGTTTCCAACGTGCTGTATCAAAAGATAGGTTGTACACTGTTAGTTGAGGACACACATTACAGAGAAGTTTGCTGAGAATGCCTCTGTCTAGATTTTACCTGAAGATATTCCGGTTTCCAATGAAATCCTTAAAGCTCTCCAAATATCCACTAGCAGATACTCCAAATGAGTCTTTCAAAACGGCTCTGTGAATAGAAATGTTCAACTCTGTTAGTTGAAGACATACGTCACAAAGCAGTTTGTGAGAATGCTTCTGTCCAGTTTTTATGGGACGATATGTCCTTTTTCACCATAAGCGTCCAAGCGCTCCAAGTGCCCACATCCAGATACTACAGAAAGTGTGTTTCAAACCTGCTCTATGAAAGGGAATGTTCAACTCTGTGACGTGAATGCAGATATCACAAAGCAGTTTCTGAGCATGTTACTGTCTAGGTTGTCTGTGAAGATACTCCCGTTTCCAACGAAATCCACAAAGCCATCCAAATATCCACTTGCAGATTCTACAAAAATCGTGTTTCCAAACTGCTCTGTCAAACGAAATGTTCAACTCCGTGAGTTGAGGACACACATCACAAACAAGTTTCTGCGAATGCTTCTGTCTAGTTGGCATGGGAAGATATTTCCTTGTTCACCATGGGCCTGAAAGCGCTCGAAATGTCCACTTCCAGATACTGCAGAAAGAGGGTTTGAAACCTGCTCTATGAAAGGGAACGTTCAACTCTGTGACTTAAACGCAAACATCACAAAGAAGCTTCTGAGAATGCTGCTGTCTACTTTGTATATGTAATCCCGTTTCCAACGTAAC
This sequence comes from Homo sapiens, assembly GCF_000001405.40. Classification (NCBI taxonomy): domain Eukaryota; kingdom Metazoa; phylum Chordata; class Mammalia; order Primates; family Hominidae; genus Homo; species Homo sapiens. The sequence continues at coordinate 15,671,764 of NC_000018.10, read as the reverse complement.
CCTCCAAGCTATCCAAATATCCTCCTGCAGATTCCACGAAAAGACGCTTTCAAGCCTGCCCTTAGAAAGGGAATATTCAACTCTCTGATATCAATGCAGATATCACAATGTAGTTTCTGAGAGTGCTTCTGTCTAGGTTTTATGTGAAGATATTCCCGTTTCCAACGAAATAGTTAGGGCTATCCATGTATCAACTTGCAAATTCTATAAAAAGAGTGTTTCCCAACTGCTGTATCATAAGAAAGGTTGAACTCTGTTAGTTGAGGACACACATCACAAAGACGTTTCTGAGAATGCTTCTGTCTAGTTTTTATGTTAAGATATTTCCTTTTTCAACATAGGCCAGAAATCGATCGAAATGTCCACTTCCAGATACTACAGAAAGAGTGTTTCAAACCTGCTCTATTGAAGGGAATATTCAACTCTGTGACTTAAAAGCAAACATCACAAAGAATCTCCCGAGAATGCTGCTGTCTACTTTCTTTATGTATTCCCGTCTCCAACGAAATCCTCAGAGCTATCCGAATATCCATCTGCAGATTCCACATAAAGAGCTTTCCAAAACTGATCTGTAAAGAGAAAGGTTCAACTCTGTTAGTTGTGTACATATATCCCAAAAATGTTTCTTAGAAAGCTTCTGTCTAGTTTTCATGGGAAGACATTTCCTTTTTCACCAAAGGCGTCAAAGTGCTCCAAATGTCTACTTCCAGATACGACAAAAAGAGTGTTTCAAACCTGCTTTAGGAAGGGAAATGTTCAACTCTGTGGCTTGAATGCAGATATCACAAAGCAGTTTCTGAGAGTGCCACTGTCTAGATTTTATATGAAGGTCTTCCCGTTTCCAACGAAATCGTTAGAGCTATCCAACTACCCACTTGCAGATTCTATAAAAAGAGTGTTTCCAACGTGCTGTATCAAAAGATAGGTTGTACACTGTTAGTTGAGGACACACATTACAAAGAAGTTTCTGAGAATGCCTCTGTCTAGACTTTACCTGAGGATACTCCGGTTTCCATTGAAATCCTTAAAGCTCTCCAATTATCCACTAGCAGACACTCCAAAAGAGTCTTTCAAAACGGCTCTGTGAATAGAAATGTTCAACTCTGTTAGTTGAAGACATACGTCACAAAGCAGTTTGTGAGAATGCTTCTGTCTAGTTTTTATGGGACGATATTTCCTTTTTCACCATAAGCGTCCAAGTGCTGCAAGTGCCCACATCCAGATACTACAGAAAGTGTGTTTCAAACCTGCTCTATGAAAGGGAATGTTCAACTCTGTGACGTGAATGCGGATATCACAAAGCCGTTTCTGAGAATGTTACTCTCTAGGTTATCTATGAAGATACTCCCGTTTCCAACGAAATCCACAAAGCCATCCAAATATCCACTTGCAGATTCTACAAAAATCGTGTTTCCAAACTGCTCTGTCAAACGAAATGTTCAAATCTGTGAGTTGAGGACACACATCACAAACAAGTTTCTGCGAATGCTTCTGTCTAGTTTGCATGGGAAGATATTTCCTTGTTCACCATGGGCCTGAAAGCGCTCGAAATGTCCACTTCCAGATACTGCAGAAAGAGGGTTTGAAACCTGCTCTATGAAAGGGAACGTTCAACTCTGTGACTTAAACGCAAACATCACAAAGAAGCTTCTGAGAATGCTGCTGTCTACTTTGTATATGTAATCCCGTTTCCAACGTAACCCTCAAAGCTATCCAAATATCCTCCTGCAGATTCCACGAAAAGATGCTTTCAAGCCTGCCCTTAGAAAGGGAATATTCAACTCTCTGATATCAATGCAGATATCACAAAGCAGTTTCTGAGAGTGCTTCTGCCTAGGTTTTATATGAAGATATTCCCGTTTCCAACGAAATAGTTAGGGCTATCCATGTATCAACTTGCAAATTCTATAAAAAGAGTGTTTCCAAACTGCTGTATCATAAGAAAGGTTGAACTCTGTTAGTTGAGGACACACATCACAAAGACGTTTCTGAGAATGCTTCTGTCTAGTTTTTATGTTAAGGTATTTCCTTTTTCAACATAGGCCTGAAATCGATCGAAATGTCCACTTCCAGATACTACAGAAAGAGTGTTTCAAACCTGCTCTATTGAAGGGAATATTCAACTCTGTGACTTAAAAGCAAACATCACAAAGAATCTCCTGAGATTGCTGCTGTCTACTTTCTTTATGTATTCCCGTCTCCATCGAAATCCTCAGAGCTATCCGAATATCCATCTGCAGATTCCACATAAAGAGCTTTCCAAAACTGATCTATAAAGAGAAAGGTTCAACTCTGTTAGTTGAGTACATATATCCCAAAAATGTTTCTTAGAATGCTTCTGTCTAGTTTTGATGGGAAGACATTTCATTTTTCACCAAAGGCGTCAAAGTGCTCCAAATGTCCACTTCCAGATACGACAGAAAGAGTGTTTCAAACCTGCTTTAGGAAGGGAAATGTTCAACTCTGTGACTTGAATGCAGATATCACAAAGCAGTTTCTGCGAGTGCCACTGTCTAGATTTTATATGAAGGTATTCCCGTTTCCAACGAAATCGTTAGAGCTATCCAAATATCCACTTGCAGATTCTATAAAAAGAGTGTTTCCAACGTGCTGTAACAAAAGATAGGTTGTACACTGTTAGTTGAGGACACACATTACAAAGAAGTTTCTGAGAATGCCTCTGTCTAGATTTTACCTGAAGATATTCCGGTTTCCAGTGAAATCCTTAAAGCTCTCCACATATCCACTAGCAGATACTCCAAAAGAGTCTTTCAAAACTGCTCTGTGAATAGAAACGCTCAACTCTGTTAGCTGACGACATACGTCACAAAGCAGTTTGTGAGAATGCTTCTGTCTAGGTTTTATGGGACGATATTTCCTTTTTCACCATAAGCGTCCAAGCGCTCCAAGTGCCCACATCCAGATACTACAGAAAGTGTGTTTCAAACCTGCTCTATGAAAGGGAATGTTCAACTCTGTGACGTGAATGCGGATATCACAAAGCCGTTTCTGAGAATGTTACTGTCTAGGTTTTCTATGAAGATACTCCCGTTTCCAACGAAATCCACAAAGCCATCCAAATATCCACTTGCAGATTCTACAAAAATCGTGTTTCCAAACTGCTCTGTCAAACGAAATGTTCAACTCTGTGAGTTGAGGACACACATCACAAACAAGTTTCTGCGAAGGCTTCTGTCTAGTTTGCATGGGAAGATATTTCCTTGTTCACCATGGGCCTGAAAGCGCTCGAAATGTCCACTTCCAGATACTGCAGAAAGAGGGTTTGAAACCTGCTCTATGAAAGGGAACGTTCAACTCTGTGACTTAAACGCAAACATCACAAAGAAGCTTCTGAGAATGCTGCTGTCTACTTTGTATATGTAATCCCGTTTCCAACGTAACCTTCCAAGCTATCCAAATATCCTCCTGCAGATTCCACAAAAAGACGCTTTCAAGCCTGCCCTTAGAAAGGGAATATTCAACTCTCTGATATCAATGCAGATATCACAAAGTAGTTTCTGAGAGTGCTTCTGTCTAGGTTTTATATGAAGATATTCCCGTTTCCAACGAAATAGTTAGGGCTATCCATGTATCAACTTGCAAATTCTATAAAAAGAGTGTTTCCAAACTGCTGTATCATAAGAAAGGTTGAAATCTGTTAGTTGAGGACACACATCACAAAGACGTTTCTGAGAATGCTTCTGTCTAGTTTTTATGTTAAGATATTTCCTTTTTCAACATAGGCCTGAAATCGATCGAAATGGCCACTTCCAGATACTACAGAAAGAGTGTTTCAAACCTGCTCTATTGAAGGGAATATTCAACTCTGTGACTTCAAAGCAAACATCACAAAGAATCTCCCGAGAATGCTGCTGTCTACATTCTTTATGTATTCCCGTCTCCAACGAAATCCTCAGAGCTATCCGAATATCCATCTGCAGATTCCACATAAAGAGCTTTCCAAAACTGATCTATAAAGAGAAAGGTTCAACTCTGTTACTTGAGTACATATATCCCAAAAATGTTTCTTAGAATGCTTCTGTCTAGTTTTGATGGGAAGACATTTCCTTTTTCACCAAAGGCGTCAAAGTGCTCCAAATGTCCACTTCCAGATACGACAGAAAGAGTGTTTCAAACCTGCTTTAGGAAGGGAAATGTTCAACTCTGTGGCTTGAATGCAGATATCACAAAGCAGTTTCTGCGAGTGCCACTGTCTAGATTTTATATGAAGGTATTCCCGTTTCCAACGAAATCGTTGGAAACTATCCACTTGCAGATTCTATCCACTTGCAGATTCTATAAAAAGAGTGTTTCCAACGTGCTGTATCAAAAGATAGGTTGTACACTGTTAGTTGAGGACACACATTACGAAGAAGTTTCTGAGAATGCCTCTGTCTAGATTTTACCTGAAGATATTCCGGTTTCCAGTGAAATCCTTAAAGCTCTCCACATATCCACTAGCAGATACTCCAAAAGAGTCTTTCAAAACTGCTCTGTGAATAGAAATGCTCAACTCTGTTAGCTGACGACATACGTCACAAAGCAGTTTGTGAGAATGCTTCTGTCCAGTTTTTATGGGACGATCTGTCCTTTTTCACCATAAGCGTCCAAGCGCTCCAAGTGCCCACATCCAGATACTACAGAAAGTGTGTTTCAAACCTGCTTTATGAAAGGGAATGTTCAACTCTGTGACATGAAGGCAGATATCAGAAAGCAGTTTCTGAGCATGTTACTGTCTAGGTTGTCTATGAAGATACTCCCGTTTCCAACGAAATCCACAAAGCCATCCAAATATCCACTTGCAGATTCTACAAAAATCGTGTTTCCAAACTGCTCTGTCAAACGAAATGTTCAACTCCGTGAGTTGAGGACACACATCGCAAACAAGTTTCTGCGAATGCTTCTGTCTAGTTTGCATAGGAAGATATTTCCTTGTTCACCATGGGCCTGAAAGCGCTCGAAATGTCCACTTCCAGATACTGCAGAAAGAGGGTTTGAAACCTGCTCTATGAAAGGGAACGTTCACCTCTGTGACTTAAACGCAAACATCATAAAGAAGCTTCTGAGAATGCTGCTGTCTGCTTTGTACATGTAATCCCGTTTCCAACGTAACCCTCAAAGCTATCCAAATATCCTCCTGCAGATTCCACGAAAAGACGCTTTCAAGCCTGCCCTTAGAAAGGGAATATTCAACTCTCTGATATCAATGCAGATATCACAAAGTAGTTTCTCAGAGTGCTTCTGTCTAGGTTGTATATGAAGATATTCCCGTTTCCAACGAAATAGTTAGGGCTATCCATGTATCAACTTGCAAATTCTATAAAAAGAGTGTTTCCAAACTGCTGTATCATAAGAAAGGTTGAACTCTGTTAGATGAGGGCACACATCACAAAGACGTTTCTGAGAATGCTTCTGTCTAGTTTTTATGTAGAGATATTTCCTTTTTCAACATAGGCCTGAAATCGATCGAAATGGCCACTTCCAGATACTACAGAAAGAGTGTTTCAAACCTGCTCTATTGAAGGGAATATTCAACTCTGTGACTTAAAAGCAAACATCACAAAGAATCTCCCGAGAATGCTGCTGTCTACATTCTTTATGTATTCCCGTCTCCAACGAAATCCTCAGAGCTATCCGAATATCCATCTGCAGATTCCACATAAAGAGCTTTCCAAAACTGGTCTATAAAGAGAAAGGTTCAACTCTGTTAGTTGTGTACATATATCCCAAAAATGTTTCTTAGAATGCTTCTGTCTAGTTTTGATGGGAAGACATTTCCTTTTTCACCAAAGGCGTCAAAGTGCTCCAAATGTCCACTTCCAGATACGACAGAAAGAGTGTTTCAAACCTGCTTTAGGAAGGGAAATGTTCAACTCTGTGGCTTGAATGCAGATATCACAAAGCAGTTTCTGCGAGTGCCACTGTCTAGATTTTATATGAAGGTATTCCCGTTTCCAACGAAATCGTTAGAGCTATCCAAATATCCACTTGCAGATTCTATAAAAAGAGTGTTTCCAACGTGCTGTATCAAAAGATAGGTTGTACACTGTTAGTTGAGGACACACATTACAAAGAAGTTTCTGAGAATGCCTCTGTCTAGATTTTACCTGAGGATATTCCGGTTTCCGATGAAATCCTTAAAGCTCTCCACATATCCACTAGCAGATACTCCAAAGGAGTCTTTCAAAACTGCTCTGTGAATAGAAATGTTCAACTCTGTTAGCTGACGACATACGTCACAAAGCAGTTTGTGAGAATGCTTCTGTCCAGATTTTATGGGACGATCTGTCCTTTTTCACCATAAGCGTCCAAGCGCTCCAAGTGCCCACATCCAGATACTACAGAAAGTGTGTTTCAAACCTGCTCTATGAAAGGGAATGTTCAACTCTGTGACGTGAATGCAGATATCACAAAGCAGTTTCTGAGAATGTTACTGTCTAGGTTGTCTGTGAAGATACTCCCGTTTCCAACGAAATCCACAAAGCCATCCAAATATCCACTTGCAGATTCTACAAAAATCGTGTTTCCAAACTGCTCTGTCAAATGAAATGTTCAACTCCGTGAGTTGAGGACACACATCACAATCAAGTTTCTGCGAATGCTTCTGTCTAGTTTGCATGGGCAAGATATTTCCTTGTTCACCATAGGCCTGAAAGCGCTCGAAATGTCCACTTCCAGATACTGCAGAAAGAGGGTTTGAAACCTGCTCTATGAAAGGGAACGTTCAACTCTGTGACTTAAACGCAAACATCATGACGAAGCTTCTGAGAATGCTGCTGTCTACTTTGTATATGTAATCCCGTTTCCAACGTAACCCTCAAAGCTATCCAAATATCCTCCTGCAGATTCCACAAAAAGACGCTTTCAAGCCTGCCCTTAGAAAGGGAATATTCAACTCTCTGATATCAATGCAGATATCACAAAGTAGTTTCTGAGAGTGCTTCTGCCTAGGTTTTATATGAAGATATTCCCGTTTCCAACGAAATAGTTAGGGCTATCCATGTATCAACTTGCAAATTCTATAAAAAGAGTGTTTCCAAACTGCTGTATCATAAGAAAGGTTGAACTCTGTTAGTTGAGGACACACATCACAAAGACGTTTCTGAGAATGCTTCTGTCTAGTTTTTATGTTAAGGTATTTCCTTTTTCAACATAGGCCTGAAATCGATCGAAATGTCCACTTCCGGATACTACAGAAAGAGTGTTTCAAACCTGCTCTATTGAAGGGAATATTCAACTCTGTGACTTAAAAGCAAACATCACAAAGAATCTCCTGAGATTGCTGCTGTCTACTTTCTTTATGTATTCCCGTCTCCAACGAAATCCTCAGAGCTATCCGAATATCCATCTGCCGATTCCACATAAAGAGCTTTCCAAAACTGATCTATAAAGAGAAAGGTCCAACTCTGTTAGTTGAGTACATATATCCCAAAAATGTTTCTTAGAATGCTTCTGTCTAGTTTTGACGGGAAGACATTTCCTTTTTCACCAAAGGTGTCAACGTGCTCCAAATGTCCACTTCCAGATACGACAAAACGAGTGTTTCAAACCTGCTTTAGGAAGGGAAATGTTCAACTCCTGTGGCTTGAATGCAGATATCACAAAGCAGTTTCTGAGAGTGCCACTGTTTAGATTTTATATGAAGGTATTCCCGTTTCCAACGAAATCGTTAGAGCTATCCAAATATCCACTTGCAGATTCTATAAAAAGAGTGTTTCCAACGTGCTGTATCAAAAGATAGGTTGTACACTGTTAGTTGAGGACACACATTACGAAGAAGTTTCTGAGAATGCCTCTGTCTAGATTTTACCTGAAGACATTCCGGTTTCCACTGAAATCCTTAAAGCTCTCCAAATATCCACTAGCAGATACTCCAAAAGAGTCTTTCAAAACTGCTCTGTAAATAGAAATGTTCAGCTCTGTTAGTTGAAGACATACGTCACAAAGCAGTTTGTGAGAATGCTTCTGTCTAGTTTTTATGGGACGATATTTCCTTTTTCACCATAAGCGTCCAAGCGCTCCAAGTGCCCACATCCAGATACTACAGAAAGGGTGTTTCAAACCTGCTCTGTGAAAGGGAATGTTCAACTCTGTGACGTGAATGCGGATATCACAAAGCCGTTTCTGAGAATGTTACTGTCTAGGTTTTCTATGAAGATACTCCCGTTTCCAACGAAATCCACAAAGCCATCCAAATATCCACTTGCAGATTCTACAAAAATCGTGTTTCCAAACTGCTCTGTCAAACGAAATGTTCAACTCTGTGAGTTGAGGACACACATCACAAACAAGTTTCTGCGAATGCTTCTGTCTAGTTTGCATGGGAAGATATTTCCTTGTTCACCATAGGCCTGAAAGCGCTCGAAATGTCCACTTCCAGATACTGCAGAAAGAGGGTTTGAAACCTGCTCTATGAAACGGAACGTTCAACTCTGTGACTTGAACGCAAACATCATAAAGAAGCTTCTGAGAATGCTGCTGTCTACTTTGTATATGTAATCCCGTTTCCAACGTAATCCTCAAAGCTATCCAAATATCCTCCTGCAGATTCCACGAAAAGACGCTTTCAAACCTGCCCTTAGAAAGGGAATATTCAACTCTCTGATATCAATGCAGATATCACAAAGTAGTTTCTGAGAGTGTTTCTGCCTAGGTTTTATATGAAGATATTCCCGTTTCCAACGAAATAGTTAGGGCTATCCATGTATCAACTTGCAAATTCTATAAAAAGAGTGTTTCCAAACTGCTGTATCATAAGAAAGGTTGAACTCTGTTAGTTGAGGACACACATCACAAAGACGTTTCTGAGAATGCTTCTGTCTAGTTTTTATGTTAAGATATTTCCTTTTTCAACATAGGTCTGTAATCGATCGAAATGTCCACTTCCAGATACTACAGAAAGAGTGTTTCAAACCTGCTCTATTGAAGGGAATATTCAACTCTGTGACTTAAAAGCAAACATCACAAAGGATCTCTTGAGAATGCTGCTGTCTACTTTCTTTATGTATTCCCGTCTCCAACGAAATCCTCAGAGCTATCCGAATATCCATCTGCAGATTCCACATAAAGAGCTTTCCAAAACTGATCTATAAAGAGAAAGGTTCAACTCTGTTAGTTGAGTACATATATCCCAAAAATGTTTCTTAGAATGCTTCTGCCTAGTTTTGATGGGAAGACCTTTCCTATTTCACCAAAGGCGTCAAAGTGCTCCAAATGTCCACTTCCAGATACGACAAAAAGAGTGTTTCAAACCTGCTTTAGGAAGGGAAATGTTCAACTCTTTGGCTTGAATGCAGATATCACAAAGCAGTTTCTGAGAGTGCCACTGTCTAGATTTTATATGAAGGTATTCCCGTTTCCAACGAAGTCGTTAGAGCTATCCAACTATCCACTTGCAGATTCTATAAAAAGAGTGTTTCCAACGTGCTGTATCAAAAGATAGGTTGTACACTGTTAGTTGAGGACACACATTACAAAGAAGTTTCTGAGAATGCCTCTGTCTAGATTTTACCTGAAGATATTCCGGTTTCCAATGAAATCCTTAAAGCTCTCCAAATATCCACTAGCAGATACTCCAAAAGAGTCTTTCAAAACGGCTCTGTGAATAGAAATGTTCAAATCTGTTAGTTGAAGACATACGTCACAAAGCAGTTTGTGAGAATGCTTCTGTCCAGTTTTTATGGGACGATATGTCCTTTTTCACCATAAGTGTCCAAGCGCTCCAAGTGCCCACATCCAGATGCTACAGAAAGTGTGTTTCAAACCTGCTCTATGAAAGGGAATGTTCAACTCTGTGACGTGAATGCAGATATCACAAAGCAGTTTCTGAGCATGTTACTGTCTAGGTTGTCTATGAAGATACTCCCGTTTCCAACGAAATCCACAAAGCCATCCAAATATCCACTTGCAGATTCTACAAAAATCGTGTTTCCAAACTGCTCTGTCAAACGAAATGTTCAACTCTGTGAGTTGAGGACACACATCACAAACAAGTTTCTGCGAATGATTCTGTCTAGTTTGCATGGGAAGATATTTCCTTGTTCACCATAGGCCTGAAAGCGCTCGAAATATCCACTTCCAGATACTGCAGAAAGAGGGTTTGAAACCTGCTCTATGAAAGGGAACGTTCAACTCTGTGACTTAAACGCAAACATCATAAAGAAGCTTCTGAGAATGCTGCTGTCTACTTTGTATATGTAATCCCGTTTCCAACGTAACCCTCAAAGCTATCCAAATATCCTCCTGCAGATTCCACGAAAAGACGCTTTCAAGCCTGCCCTTAGAAAGGGAATATTCAACTCTCTGATATCAACGCAGATATCACAAAGTAGTTTCTGAGAGTGCTTCTGTCTAGGTTTTCTATGAAGATATTCCCGTTTCCAACGAAATAGTTAGGGCTATCCATGTATCAACTTGCAAATTCTATAAAAAGAGTGTTTCCAAACTGCTGTATCATAAGAAAGGTTGAACTCTGTTAGTTGAGGACACACATCACAAAGACGTTTCTGAGAATGCTTCTGTCTAGTTTTGATGTTAAGGTATTTCCTTTTTCAACATAGGCCTGAAATCGATCGAAATGTCGACTTCCAGATACTACAGAAAGAGTGTTTCAAACCTGCTCTATTGAAGGGAATATTCAACTCTGTGACTTAAAAGCAAACATCACAAAGAATCTCCTGAGAATGCTGCTGTCTACTTTCTTTATGTATTCCCGTCTCCAACGAAATCCTCAGAGCTATCCGAATATCCATCTGCAGATTCCACATAAAGAGCTTTCCAAAACTGATCTATAAAGAGAAAGGTTCAAATCTGTTAGTTGAGTACATATATCCCAAAAATGTTTCTTAGAATGCTTCTGTCTAGTTTTCATGGGAAGACATTTCCTTTTTCACCAAAGGCGTCAAAGTGCTCCAAATGTCCACTTCCAGATACGACAGAAAGAGTGTTTCAAACCTGCTTTAGGAAGGGAAATGTTCAACTCTGTGGCTTGAATGCAGATATCACAAAGCAGTTTCTGAGAGTGCCACTGTCTATATTTTATATGAAGGTATTCCCGTTTCCAACGAAATCGTTAGAGCTATCCAAATATCCACTTGCAGATTCTATAAAAAGAGTGTTTCCAACGTGCTGTATCAAAAGATAGGTTGTACACTGTTAGTTGAGGACACACATGACAAAGAAGTTTCTGAGAATGCCTCTGTCTAGATTTTACCTGAAGATATTCCGGTTTCCAATGAAATCCTTAAAGCTCTCCAAATATCCACTAGCAGATACTCCAAAAGAGTCTTTCAAAACTGCTCTGTAAATAGAAATGTTCAACTCTGTTAGTTGAAGACATACGTCACAAAGCAGTTTGTGAGAATGCTTCTGTCTAGTTTTTATGGGACGATATTTCCTTTTTCACCATAAGCCTCCAAGCGCTCCAAGTGCCCACATCCAGATACTACAGAAAGGGTGTTTCAAACCTGCTCTGTGAAAGGGAATGTTCAACTCTGTGACATGAATGCGGATATCACAAATCCGTTTCTGAGAATGTTACTGTCTAGATTGTCTATGAAGATACTCCCGTTTCGAACGAAATCCACAAAGCCATCCAAATATCCACTTGCAGATTCTACAAAAATCGTGTTTCCAAACTGCTCTGTCAAACGAAATATTCAACTCTGTGAGTTGAGGACACACATCACAAACAAGTTTCTGCGAATGCTTCTGTCTAGTTTGCATGGGAAGATATTTCCTTGTTCACCATGGGCCTGAAAGCGCTCGAAATGTCCACTTCCAGATACTGCAGAAAGAGGGTTTGAAACCTGCTCTATGAAAGGGAACGTTCAACTCTGTGACTTAAACGCAAACATCATAAAGAAGCTTCTGAGAATGCTGCTGTCTACTTTGTATATGTAATCCTGTTTCCAACGTAACCCTCAAAGCTATCCAAATATCCTCCCGCAGATTCCACGAAAAGACGCTTTCAAGCCATCCCTTAGAAAGGGAATATTCAACTCTCTGATATCAATGCAGATATCACAAAGTAGTTTCTGAGAGTGCTTCTGCCTAGGTTTTATATGAAGATATTCCCGTTTCCAACGAAATAGTTAGGGCTATCCATGTATCAACTTGCAAATTCTATAAAAAGAGTGTTTCCAAACTGCTGTATCATAAGAAAGGTTGAACTCTGTTAGTTGAGGACACACATCACAAAGACGTTTCTGAGAATGCTTCTGTCTAGTTTTTATGTTAAGATATTTCCTTTTTCAACATAGGCCTGAAATCGATCGAAATGTCCACTTCCAGATACTACAGAAAGAGTGTTTCAAACCTGCTCTATTGAAGGGAATATTCAACTCTGTGACTTAAAAGCAAACATCACAAAGAATCTCCCGAGAATGCTGCTGTCTACTTTCTTTATGTATTCCCATCTCCAACGAAATCCTCAGAGCTATCCGAATATCCATCTGCAGATTCCACATAAAGAGCTTTCCAAAACTGATCTATAAAGAGAAAGGTTCAACTCTGTTAGTTGAGTACATATATCCCAAAAATGTTTCTTAGAATGCTTCTGTCTAGTTTTCATGGGAAGACATTTCCTTTTTCACCAAAGGCGTCAAAGTGCTCCAAATGTCCACTTCCAGATACGACAGAAAGAGTGTTTCAAACCTGCTTTAGGAAGGGAAATGTTCAACTCTGTGGCTTGAATGCAGATATCACAAAGCAGTTTCTGAGAGTGCCACTGTCTAGATTTTATATGAAGGTATTCCCGTTTCCAAAGAAATCGTTAGAGCTATCCAACTATCCACTTGCAGATTCTATAAAAAGAGTGTTTCCAACGTGCTGTATCAAAAGATAGGTTGTACACTGTTAGTTGAGGACACACATTATGAAGAAGTTTCTGAGAATGCCTCTGTCTAGATTTTACCTGAAGATATTCCGGTTTCCAATGAAATCCTTAAAGCTCTCCAAATATCCACTAGCAGATACTCCAAAAGAGTCTTTCAAAACTGCTCTGTGAATAGAAATGTTCAACTCTGTTAGTTGAAGACATACGTCACAAAGCAGTTTGTGAGAATGCTTCTGTCCAGTTTTTATGGGACGATATGTTCTTTTTCACCATAAGCGTCCAAGCGCTCCAAGTGCCCACATCCAGATACTACAGAAAGTGTGTTTCAAACCTGCTCTATGAAAGGGAATGTTCAACTCTGTGACGTGAATGCAGATATCACAAAGCAGGTTCTGAGCATGTTACTGTCTAGGTTGTCTATGAAGATACTCCCGTTTCCAACGAAATCCACAAAGCCATCCAAATATCCACTTGAAGATTCTACAAAAATCGTGTTTCTGAACTGCTCTGTCAAACGAAATGTTCAACTCCGTGAGTTGAGGACACACATCAGAAACAAGTTTCTGCGAATGCTTCTGTCTAGTTTGCATGGGAAGATATTTCCTTGTTCACCATAGGCCTGAAAGCGCTCGAAATGTCCACTTCCAGATACTGCAGAAAGAGGGTTTGAAACCTGCTCTATGAAAGGGAACGTTCAACTCTGTGACTTGAACGCAAACATCATAAAGAAGCTTCTGAGAATGCTGCTGTCTACTTTGTATATGTAATCCCGTTTCCAACGTAACCCTCAAAGCTATCCAAATATCCTCCTGCAGATTCCACGAAAAGACGCTTTCAAGCCTGCCCTTAGAAAGGGAATATTCAACTCTCTGATATCAATGCAGATATCACAAAGTAGTTTCTGAGAGTGCTTCTGTCTAGGTTTTATATGAAGATATTCCCGTTTCCAACGAAATAGTTAGGGCTATCCATGTATCAACTTGCAAATTCTATAAAAAGAGTGTTTCCAAACTGCTGTATCATAAGAAAGGTTGAACTCTGTTAGTTGAGGACACACGTCTCAAAGACGTTTCTGAGAATGCTTCTGTCTAGTTTTTATGTTAAGATATTTCCTTTTTCAACATAGGCCTGAAATCGATCGAAATGGCCACTTCCAGATACTACAGAAAGAGTGTTTCAAACCTGCTCTATTGAAGGGAATATTCAACTCTGTGACTTCAAAGCAAACATCACAAAGGATCTCCCGAGAATGCTGCTGTCTACTTTCTTTATGTATTCCCGTCTCCAACGAAATCCTCAGAGCTATCCGAATATCCATCTGCAGATTCCACATAAAGAGCTTTCCAAAACTGATCTATAAAGAGAAAGGTTCAACTCTGTTAGTTGAGTACATATATCCCAAAAATGCTTCTTAGAATGCTTCTGTCTAGTTTTCATGGGAAGACATTTCCTTTTTCACCAAAGGCGCCAAAGTGCTCCAAATGTCCACTTCCAGATACGACAAAAAGAGTGTTTCAAACCTGCTTTAGGAAGGGAAATGTTCAACTCTGTGGCTTGAATGCAGATATCACAAAGCAGTTTCTGAGAGTGCCACTGTCTAGATTTTATATGAAGGTATTGCCGTTTCCAACGAAATCGTTAGAGCTATCCAACTATCCACTTGCAGATTCTATAAAAAGAGTGTTTCCAACGTGCTGTATCAAAAGATAGGTTGTACACTGTTAGTTGAGGACACACATTACGAAGAAGTTTCTGAGAATGCCTCTGTCTAGATTTTACCTGAAGATATTCCGGTTTCCAATGAAATCCTTAAAGCTCTCCAAATATCCACTAGCAGATACTCCAAAAGAGTCTTTCAAAACTGCTCTGTAAATAGAAATGTTCAACTCTGTTAGTTGAAGACATACGTCACAAAGCAGTTTCTGAGAATGCTTCTGTCTAGTTTTTATGGGACGATATTTCCTTTTTCACCATAAGCGTCCAAGCGCTCCAAGTGCCCACATCCAGATACTACAGAAAGGGTGTTTCAAACCTGCTCTATGAAAGGGAATGTTCAACTCTGTGACGTGAATGCGGATATCACAAAGCCGTTTCTGAGAATGTTACTGTCTAGGTTGTCTATGAAGATACTCCCGTTTCCAACGAAATCCACAAAGCCATCGAAATATCCACTTGCAGATTCTACAAAAATCGTGTTTCCAAACTGCTCTGTCAAACGAAATGTTCAACTCCGTGAGTTGAGGACACACATCACAAACAAGTTTCTGCGAATGCTTCTGTCTAGTTTTCATGGGAAGATATTTCCTTGTTCACCATGGGCCTGAAAGCGCTCGAAATGCCCACTTCCAGATACTGCAGAAAGAGGGTTTGAAACCTGCTCTATGAAAGGGAACGTTCAACTCTGTGACTTAAACGCAAACATCATAAAGAAGCTTCTGAGAATGCTGCTGTCTACTTTGTATATGTAATCCCGTTTCCAACGTATCCCTCCAAGCTATCCAAATATCCTCCTGCAGATTCCACGAAAAGACGCTTTCAAGCCTGCCCTTAGAAAGGGAATATTCAACTCTCTGATATCAATGCAGATATCACAAAGTAGTTTCTGAGAGTGCTTCTGTCTAGGTTTTATGTGAAGATATTCCCGTTTCCAACGAAATAGTTAGGGCTATCCATGTATCAACTTGCAAATTCTATAAAAAGAGTGTTTCCCAACTGCTGTATCATAAGAAAGGTTGAACTCTGTTAGTTGAGGACACACATCACAAAGACGTTTCTGAGAATGCTTCTGTCTAGTTTTTATGTTAAGGTATTTCCTTTTTCAACATAGGCCTGAAATCGATCGAAATGTCCACTTCCAGATACTACAGAATGAGTGTTTCAAACCTCCTCTATTGAAGGGAATATTCAACTGTGTGACTTAAAAGCAAACATCACAAAGAATCTCCTGAGAATGCTGCTGTCTACTTTCTTTATGTATTCCCGTCTCCAACGAAATCCTCAGAGCTATCCGAATATCCATCTGCAGATTCCACATAAAGAGCTTTCCAAAACTGATCTATAAAGAGAAAGGTTCAACTCTGTTAGTTGAGTACATATATCCCAAAAGTGTTTCTTAGAATGCTTCTGTCTAGTTTTCATGGGAAGACATTTCCTTTTTCACCAAAGGCGTCAAAGTGCTCCAAATGTCCACTTCCAGATACGACAAAAAGAGTGTTTCAAACCTGCTTTAGGAAGGGAAATGTTCAACTCTGTGGCTTGAATGCAGATATCACAAAGCAGTTTCTGAGAGTACCACTGTCTAGATTTTATATGAAGGTACTCCCGTTTCCAACGAAATCGTTAGAGCTATCCAACTATCCACTTGCAGATTCTATAAAAAGAGTGTTTCCAACGTGCTGTATCAAAAGATAGGTTGTACACTGTTAGTTGAGGACACACATGACGAAGAAGTTTCTGAGAATGCCTCTGTCTAGATTTTACCTGAAGATATTCCGGTTTCCAATGAAATCATTAAAGCTCTCCAAATATCCAGCAGCAGATACTCCAAAAGAGTCTTTCAAAACTGCTCTGTGAATAGAAATGTTCAACTCTGTTAGTTGAAGACATACGTCACAAAGCAGTTTGTGAGAATGCTTCTGTCTAGTTTTTATGGGACGATATTTCCTTTTTCACCATAAGCCTCCAAGCGCTCCAAGTGCCCACATCCAGATACTACAGAAAGGGTGTTTCAAACCTGCTCCGTGAAAGGGAATGTTCAACTCTGTGACGTGAATGCGGATATCACAAAGCCGTTTCTGAGAATGTTACTGTCTAGGTTTTCTATGAAGATACTCCCGTTTCCAACAAAATCCACAAAGCCATCCAAATATCCACTTGCAGATTCTACAAAAATCGTGTTTCCAAACTGCTCTGTCAAACGAAATGTTCAACTCTGTGAGTTGAGGACACACATCACAAACAAGTTTCTGCGAATGCTTCTGTCTAGTTTGCATGGGAAGATATTTACCTTGTTCACCATAGGCCTGAAAGCGCTCGAAATGTCCACTTCCAGATACTGCAGAAAGAGGGTTTGAAACCTGCTCTATGAAAGGGAACGTTCAACTGTGTGACTTGAACGCAAACATCATAAAGAAGCTTCTGAGAATGCTGCTGTCTGCTTTGTACATGTAATCCCGTTTCCAACGTAACCCTCAAAGCTATCCAAATATCCTCCTGCAGATTCCACGAAAAGACGCTTTCAAGCCTGCCCTTAGAAAGGGAATATTCAACTCTCTGATATCAATGCAGATATCACAAAGTAGTTTCTGAGAGTGCTTCTGTCTAGGTTTTATGTGAAGATATTCCCGTTTCCAACGAAATAGTTAGGGCTATCCATGTATCAGCTTGCAAATTCTATAAAAAGAGTGTTTCCCAACTGCTGTATCATAAGAAAGGTTGAACTCTGTTAGTTGAGGACACACATCACAAAGACGTTTCTGAGAATGCTTCTGTCTAGTTTTTATGTTAAGATATTTCCTTTTTCAACATAGGCCTGAAATCGATCGAAATGTCCACTTCCAGATACTACAGAAAGAGTGTTTCAAACCTGCTCTATTGAAGGGAATATTCAACTCTGTGACTTCAAAGCAAACATCACAAAGAATCTCCCGAGAATGCTGCTGTCTACTTTCTTTATGTATTCCCGTCTCCAGCGATATCCTCAGAGCTATCCGAATATCCACTTGCAGATTCCACATAAAGAGCTTTCCAAAACTGATCTATAAAGAGGAAGGTTCAACTCTGTTAGTTGAGTACATATATCTCAAAAATGTTTCTTAGAATGCTTCTGTCTAGTTTTGATGGGAAGACATTTCCTTTTTCAACAAAGGCGTCAAATTGCTCCAAATGTCCACTTCCAGATACGACAAAAAGAGTGTTTCAAACCTGCTTTAGGAAGGGAAATGTTCAACTCTGTGGCTTGAATGCAGATATCACAAAGCAGTTTCTGAGAGTGCCACTGTCTAAATTTTATATGAAGGTATTCCCGTTTCCAACGAAATCGTTAGAGCTATCCAACTATCCACTTGCAGATTCTATAAAAAGAGTGTTTCCAACGTGCTGTATCAAAAGATAGGTTGTACACTGTTAGTTGAGGACACACATTACGAAGAAGTTTCTGAGAATGCCTCTGTCTAGATTTTACCTGAAGATATTCCGGTTTCCAATGAAATCCTTAAAGCTCTCCAAATATCCACTAGCAGATACTCCAAAAGAGTCTTTCAAAACTGCTCTGTGAATAGAAATGTTCAACTCTGTTAGTTGAAGACATACGTCACAAAGCAGTTTGTGAGAATGCTTCTGTCTAGGTTTTATGGGACGATATTTCCTTTTTCACCATAAGCGTCCAAGAGCTCCAAGTGCCCACATCCAGATACTTCAGAAAGGGTGTTTCAAACCTGCTCTATGAAAGGGAATGTTCAACTCCTGTGACGTGAATGCGGATATCACAAAGCCGTTTCTGAGAATGTTACTGTCTAGGTTTTCTATGAAGATACTCCCGTTTCCAACGAAATCCACAAAGCCATCCAAATATCCACTTGCAGATTCTACAAAAATCGTGTTTCCAAACTGCTCTGTCAAACGAAATGTTCAACTCTGTGAGTTGAGGACACACATCACAAACAAGTTTCTGCGAATGCTTCTGTCTAGTTTGCATGGGAAGATATTTCCTTGTTCACCATAGGCCTGAAAGCGCTCGAAATGTCCACTTCCAGATACTGCAGAAAGAGGGTTTGAAACCTGCTCTATGAAAGGGAACGTTCAACTCTGTGACTTGAACGCAAACATCATAAAGAAGCTTCTGAGAATGC
Organism: Homo sapiens; assembly: GCF_000001405.40. Classification (NCBI taxonomy): domain Eukaryota; kingdom Metazoa; phylum Chordata; class Mammalia; order Primates; family Hominidae; genus Homo; species Homo sapiens. The sequence continues at coordinate 15,653,080 of NC_000018.10, read as the reverse complement.
TGCTGTCTACTTTGTATATGTAATCCGGTTTCCAACGTAAACCTCAAAGCTATCCAAATATCCTCCCGCAGATTCCACGAAAAGACGCTTTCAAGCCTGCCCTTAGAAAGGGAATATTCAACTCTCTGATATCAATGCAGATATCACAAAGTAGTTTCTGAGAGTGCTTCTGTCTCGGTTTTATATGAAGATATTCCCGTTTCCAACGAAATAGTTAGGGCTATCCATGTATCAACTTGCAAATTCTATAAAAAGAGTGTTTCCAAACTGCTGTATCATAAGAAATGTTGAACTCTGTTAGTTGAGGACACACATCACAAAGACGTTTCTGAGAATGCTTCTGTCTATTCTTTATGTTACGATATTTCCTTTTTCAACATAGGCCTGAAATCGATCGAAATGTCCACTTCCAGATACTACAGAAAGAGTGTTTCAAACCTGCTCTATTGAAGGGAATATTCAACTCTGTGACTTAAAAGCAAACATCACAAAGAATCTCCCGAGAATGCTTGCTGTCTACTTTCTTTATGTATTCCCGTCTCCAACGAAATCCTCAGAGCTATCCGAATATCCATCTGCAGATTCCACATAAAGAGCTTTCCAAAACTGATCTATAAAGAGAAAGGTTCATCTCTCTTAGTTCAGTACATATATCCCAAAAATGTTTCTTAGAATGCTTCTGTCTAGTTTTCATGGGAAGACATTTCCTTTTTCACCAAAGGCGTCAAAGTGCTCCAAATGTCCACTTCCAGATACGACAAAAAGAGTGTTTCAAACCTGCTTTAGGAAGGGAAATGTTCAACTCTGTGGCTTGAATGCAGATATCACAAAGCAGTTTCTGAGAGTGCCACTGTCTAGATTTTATATGAAGGTATTCCCGTTTCCAACGAAATCGTTAGAGCTATCCAACTATCCACTTGCAGATTCTATAAAAAGAGTGTTTCCAACGTGCTGTATCAAAAGATAGGTTGTACACTGTTAGTTGAGGACACACATTACGAAGAAGTTTCTGAGAATGCCTCTGTCTAGATTTTACCTGAAGATATTCCGGTTTCCAATGAAATCCTTAAAGCTCTCCAAATATCCACTAGCAGATACTCCAAAAGAGTCTTTCAAGACTGCTCTGTGAATAGAAATGTTCAACTCTGTTAGTTGAAGACATACGTCACAAAGCAGTTTGTGAGAATGCTTCTGTCCAGTTTTTATGGGACGATATGTCCTTTTTCACCATAAGCGTCCAAGCGCTCCAAGTGCCCACATCCAGATACTACAGAAAGTGTGTTTCAAACCTGCTCTATGAAAGGGAATGTTCAACTCTGTGACGTGAATGCAGATATCACAAAACAGTTTCTGAGCATGTTACTGTCTAGGTTGTCTATGAAGATACTCCCGTTTCCAACGAAATCCACAAAGCCATCCAAATATCCACTTGCAGATTCTACAAAAATCGTGTTTCCAAACTGCTCTGTCAAACGAAATGTTCAACTCCGTGAGTTGAGGACACACATCACAAACAAGTTTCTGCGAATGCTTCTGTCTAGTTTGCATGGGAAGATATTTCCTTGTTCACCATGGGCCTGAAAGCGCTCGAAATGTCCACTTCCAGATACTGCAGAAAGAGGGTTTGAAACCTGCTCTCTGAAAGGGAACGTTCAACTCTGTGACTTAAACGCAAACATCACAAAGAAGCTTCTGAGAATGCTGCTGTCTGCTTTGTACATGTAATCCCGTTTCCAACGTAACCCTCAAAGCTATCCAAATATCCTCCTGCAGATTCCACGAAAAGACGCTTTCAAGCCTGCCCTTAGAAAGGGAATATTCAACTCTCTGATATCAATGCAGATATCACAAAGTAGTTTCTGAGAGTGCTTCTGTCTAGGTTTTATGTGAAGATATTCCCGTTTCCAACGAAATAGTTAGGGCTATCCATGTATCAGCTTGCAAATTCTATAAAAAGAGTGTTTCCCAACTGCTGTATCATAAGAAAGGTTGAACTCTGTTAGTTGAGGACACACATCACAAAGACGTTTCTGAGAATGCTTCTGTCTAGTTTTTATGTTGAGATATTTCCTTTTTCAACATAGGCCTGAAATCGATCGAAATGTCCACTTCCAGATACTACTGAAAGAGTGTTTCAAACCTGCTCTATTGAAGGGAATATTCAACTCTGTGACTTCAAAGCAAACATCACAAAGAATCTCCCGAGAATGCTGCTGTCTACTTTCTTTATGTATTCCCGTCTCCAACGAAATCCTCAGAGCTATCCGAATATCCATCTGCAGATTCCACATAAAGAGCTTTCCAAAACTGATCTATAAAGAGAAAGGTTCAACTCTGTTAGTTGAGTACATATATCCCAAAAATGTTTCTTAGAATGCTTCTGTCTAGTTTTCATGGGAAGACATTTCCTTTTTCACCAAAGGCGTCAAAGTGCTCCAAATGTCCACTTCCAGATACGACAAAAAGAGTGTTTCAAACCTGCTTTAGGAAGGGAAATGTTCAACTCTGTGGCTTGAATGCAGATATCACAAAGCAGTTTCTGAGAGTGCCACTGTCTAGATTTTATATGAAGGTATTCCCGTTTCCAACGAAATCGTTGGAAACTATCCACTTGCAGATTCTATCCACTTGCAGATTCTATAAAAAGAGTGTTTCCAACGTGCTGTATCAAAAGATAGGTTGTACACTGTTAGTTGAGGACACACATTACGAAGAAGTTTCTGAGAATGCCTCTGTCTAGATTTTACCTGAAGATATTCCGGTTTCCAATGAAATCCTTAAAGCTCTCCAAATATCCACTAGCAGATACTCCAAAAGAGTCTTTCAAAACTGCTCTGTGAATAGAAATGTTCAACTCTGTTAGTTGAAGACATACGTCACAAACAGTTTGTGAGAATGCTTCTGTCCAGTTTTTATGGGACGATATGTCCTTTTTCACCATAAGCGTCCAAGCGCTCCAAGTGCCCACATCCAGATACTACAGAAAGTGTGTTTCAAACCCGCTCTATGAAACGGAATGTTCAACTCTGTGACGTGAATGCAGATATCACAAAACAGTTTCTGAGCATGTTACTGTCTAGGTTGTCAATGAAGATACTCCCGTTTCCAACGAAATCCACAAAGCCATCCAAATATCCACTTGCAGATTCTACAAATATCGTGTTTCCAAACTGCTCTGTCAAACGAAATGTTCAACTCCGTGAGTTGAGGACACACATCACAAACAAGTTTCTGCGAATGCTTCTGTCTAGTTTGCTTGGGAAGATATTTCCTTGTTCACCATAGGCCTGAAAGCGCTCGAAATGTCCACTTCCAGATACTGCAGAAAGAGGGTTTGAAACCTGCTCTATGAAAGGGAACGTTCAACTCTGTGACTTAAACGCAAACATCACAAAGAAGCTTCTGAGAATGCTGCTGTCTACTTTGTATATGTAATCCCGTTTCCAACGTAACCCTCAAAGCTATCCAAATATCCTCCTGCAGATTCCACGAAAAGACGCTTTCAAGCCTGCCCTTAGAAAGGGAATATTCAACTCTCTGATATCAACGCAGATATCACAAAGTAGTTTCTGAGAGTGCTTCTGTCTAGGTTTTATATGAAGATATTCCCGTTTCCAACGAAATAGTTAGGGCTATCCATGTATCAACTTGCAAATTCTATAAAAAGAGTGTTTCCAAACTGCTGTATCATAAGAAAAGTTGAACTCTGTTAGTTGAGGACACACATCACAAAGACGTTTCTGAGAATGCTTCTGTCTAGTTTTTATGTTACGATATTTCCTTTTTCAACATAGGCCTGAAATCGATCGAAATGTCCACTTCCAGATACTACAGAAAGAGTGTTTCAAACCTGCTCTATTGAAGGGAATATTCAACTCTGTGACTTCAAAGCAAACATCACAAAGAATCTCCCGAGAATACTGCTGTCTACTTTCTTTATATATTCCCGTCTCCCACGAAATCCTCAGAGCTATCCGAATATCCATCTGCAGATTCCACATAAAGAGCTTTCCAAAACTGATCTATAAAGAGAAACGTTCAACTCTGTTAGTTGAGTACATATATCCCAAAAATGTTTCTTAGAATGCTTCTGTCTAGTTTTCATGGGAAGACATTTCCTTTTTCACCAAAGGCGTCAAAGTGCTCCAAATGTCCACTTCCAGATACGACAAAAAGAGTGTTTCAAACCTGCTTTAGGAAGGGAAATGTTCAACTCTGTGGCTTGAATGCAGATATCACAAAGCAGTTTCTGAGAGTGCCACTGTCTAGATTTTATATGAAGGTACTCCCATTTCCAACGAAATCGTTAGAGCTATCCAAATATCCACTTGCAGATTCTATAAAAAGAGTGTTTCCAACGTGCTGTATCAAAAGATAGGTTGTACACTGTTAGTTGAGGACACACATTACAAAGAAGTTTCTGAGAATGCCTCTGTCTAGATTTTACCTGAAGATATTCCGGTTTCCGGTGAAATCCTTAAAGCTCTCCAAATATCCACTAGCAGATACTCCAAAAGAGTCTTTCAAAACTGCTCTGTGAATAGAAATGTTCAACTCTGTTAGCTGACGACATACGTCTCAAAGCAGTTTGTGAGAATGCTTCTGTCTAGTTTTTATGGGACGATATTTCCTTTTTCACCATAAGCGTCCAAGCGCTCCAAGTGTCCACATCCAGATACTACAGAAAGTGTGTTTCAAACGTGCTCTATGAAAGGGAATGTTCTACTCTGTGACGTGAATGCAGATATCACAAAGCAGTTTCTGAGAATGTTACTGTCTAGGTTTTCTATGAAGATACTCCCGTTTCCAACGAAATCCACAAAGCCATCCAAATATCCGCTTGCAGATTCTACAAAAATCGTGTTTCCAAACTGCTCTGTCAAACGAAATGTTCAACTCTGTGAGTTGAGGACACACATCACAAACAAGTTTCTGCGAATGCTTCTGTCTAGTTTGCATGGGAAGATATTTCCTTGTTCACCATGGGCCTGAAAGCGCTCGAAATGTCCACTTCCAGATACTGCAGAAAGAGGGTTTGAAACCTGCTCTATGAAAGGGAACGTTCAACTCTGTGACTTAAACGCAAACATCACAAAGAAGCTTCTGAGAATGCTGCTGTCTACTTTGTATATGTAATCCCGTTTCCAACGTAACCCTCAAAGCTATCCAAATATCCTCCTGCAGATTCCACAAAAAGACGCTTTCAAGCCTGCCCTTAGAAAGGGAATATTCAACTCTCTGATATCAATGCAGATATCACAAAGTAGTTTCTGAGAGTGCTTCTGTCTAGGTTTTATATGAAGATATTCCCGTTTCCAACGAAATAGTTAGGGCTATCCATATATCAACATGCAAATTCTATAAAAAGAGTGTTTCCAAACTGCTGTATCATAAGAAAGGTTGAACTCTGTTAGTTGAGGACACACATCACAAAGACGTTTCTGAGAATGCTTCTGTCTAGTTTTGATGTTAAGGTATTTCCTTTTTCAACATAGGCCTGAAATCGATCGAAATGTCCACTTCCAGATACTACAGAAAGAGTGTTTCAAACCTGCTCTATTGAAGGGAATATTCAACTCTGTGACTTAAAAGCAAACATCACAAAGGAATCTCCTGAGAATGCTGCTGTCTACTTTCTTTATGTATTCCCGTCTCCAACGAAATCCTCAGAGCTATCCGAATATCCATCTGCAGATTCCACATAAAGAGCTTTCCAAAACTGATCTATAAAGAGAAAGGTTCAACTCTGTTAGTTGAGTACATATATCCCAAAAATGTTTCTTAGAATGTTTCTGTCTAGTTTTGATGGGAAGACATTTCCTTTTTCACCAAAGGCGTCAAAGTGCTCCAAATGTCCACTTCCAGATACGACAGAAAGAGTGTTTCAAACCTGCTTTAGGAAGGGAAATGTTCAACTCTGTGGCTTGAATGCAGATATCACAAAGCAGTTTCTGCGAGTGCCTCTGTCTAGGTTTTATATGAAGATATTCCCGTTTCCAACGAAATCGTTAGAGCTATCCAACTATCCACTTGCAGATTCTATAAAAAGAGTGTTTCCAACGTGCTGTATCAAAAGATAGGTTGTACACTGTTAGTTGAGGACACTCATTACGAAGAAGTTTCAGAGAATGCCTCTGTCTAGATTTTACCTGAAGATATTCCGGTTTCCAATGAAATCCTTAAAGCTCTCCAAATATCCACTAGCAGATACTCCAAAAGAGTCCTTCAAAACTGCTCTGTGAATAGAAATGTTCAACTCTGTTATTTGAAGACATACGTCACAAAGCAGTTTGTGAGAATGATTCTGTCCAGATTTTATGGGACGATCTGTCCTTTTTCACCATAAGCGTCCAAGCGCTCCAATGCCCACATCCAGATACTACAGAAAGTGTGTTTCAAACCTGCCCTATGAAAGGGAATGTTCAACTCTGTGACGTGAATGCAGATATCACAAAGCAGTTTCTGAGAATGTTGCTGTCTAGGTTGTCTATGAAGATACTCCCGTTTCCAACGAAATCCACAAAGCCATCCAAATATCCACTAGCAGATTCTACAAAAATCGTGTTTCCAAACTGCTCTGTCAAACGAAATGTTCAACTCCGTGAGTTGAGGACACACATCACAAACAAGTTTCTGCGAATGCTTCAGTCTAGTTTGCATGGGAAGATATTTCCTTGTTCACCATAGGCCTGAAAGCACTCGAAATGTCCACTTCCAGATACTACAGAGAGAGTGTTTGAAACCTGCCCTATGAAAGGCAATGTTCAACTGTGTGACTTAAAAGCAAACATCACAAAGAAGCTTCTGAGAATGCTGCTGTCTACTTTGTATATGTAATCCCGTTTCCAGCGTAACCCTCAAAGCTATCCAAATATCCTCCTGCAGATTCCACGAAAAGACGCTTTCAAGCCTGCCCTTAAAAAGGGAATATTCAACTCTCTGATATCAATGCAGATATCACAAGGAGTTTCTGAGAGTGCTTCTGTCTACATTTTATATGAAGATATTCCCGTTTCCAACGAAATAGTTAGGGCTATCCATGTATCAACTTGCGAATTCTATAAAAAGAGTGTTTCCAAACTGCTGTATCATAAGAAAGGTTGAACTCTGTTAGTTGAGGACACACATCACAACGACGTTTGTGAGAATGCTTCTGTCTAGTTTTTATGTTAAAATATTTCCTTTTTCAACATAGGCCTGTAATCGATCGAAATGTCCACTTCCAGATACTACAGAAAGAGTGTTTCAAACCTGCTCTATTGAAGGGAATATTCAACTGTGTGACTTAAAAGTAAACATCACAAAGAATCTCCTGAGAATGCTGCTGTCTACTTTCTTTATGTATTCCCGTCTCCAGCGAAATCCTCAGAGCTATCCGAATATCCACTTGCAGATTCCACATAAAGAGCTTTCCAAAACTGATCTATAAAGAGGAAGGTTCAACTCTGTTAGTTGAGTACATATATCCCAAAAATGTTTCTTAGAATGCTTCTGTCTAGTTTTGACGGGAAGACATTTCCTTTTTCACCAAAGGCGTCAAAGTGCTCCAAATGTCCACTTCCAGATACGACAAAACGAGTGTTTCAAACCTGCTTTAGGAAGGGAATTGTTCAATTCTGTGGCTTGAATGCAGATATCACAAAGCAGTTTCTGAGAGTGCCACTGTCTAGATTTTATATGAAGGTATTCCCGTTTCCAACGAAATCGTTAGAGCTATCCAAATATCCACTTGCAGATTCTATAAAAAGAGTGTTTCCAACGTGCTGTATCAAAAGATAGGTTGTACACTGTTAGTTGAGGACACACATTACAAAGAAGTTTCTGAGAATGCCTCTGTCTAGATTTTACCTGAAGATATTCCGGTTTCCAGTGAAATCCTTAAAGCTCTCCACATATCCACTAGCAGATACTCCAAAAGAGTCTTTCAAAACTGCTCTGTGAATAGAAATGCTCAACTCTCTTAGCTGACGACATACGTCACAAAGCAGTTTGTGAGAATGCTTCTGTCCAGTTTTTATGGGATGATATGTCCTTTTTCACCATAAGCGTCCAAGCGCTCCAAGTGCCCACATCCAGATACTACAGAAAGTGTGTTTCAAACCTGCTCTATGAAAGGGAATGTTCAACTCTGTGACGTGAATGCAGATATCACAAAGCAGTTTCTGAGAATGTTACTGTCTAGGTTGTCTATGAAGATACTCCCGTTTCCAACGAAATCCACAAAGCCATCCAAATATCCACTTGCAGATTCTGCAATAATCGTGTTTCCAAACTACTCTGTCAAACGAAATGTTCAACTCTGTGAGTTGAGGACACACATCACAATCAAGTTTCTGTGAATGCTTCTGTCTAGTTTGCATGGGAAGATATTTCCTTGTTCACCATAGGCCTGAAAGCGCTCGAAATGTCCACTTCCAGATACTGCAGAAAGAGGGTTTGAAACCTGCTCTATGAATGGGAACGTTCAACTCTGTGACTTCAACGCAAACATCATAAAGAAGCTTTTGAGAATGCTGCTGTCTGCTTTGTACATGTAATCCCGTTTCCACGTAACCCTCAAAGCTATCCAAATATCCTCCTGCAGATTCCACGAAAAGACGCTTTCAAGCCTGCCCTTAGAAAGGGAATATTCAACTCTCTGATATCAATGCAGATATCACAAAGTAGTTTCTGAGAGTGCTTCTGTCTAGGTTTTATGTGAAGATATTCCCGTTTCCAACGAAATAGTTAGGGCTATCCATGTATCAACTTGCAAATTCTATAAAAAGAGTGTTTCCCAACTGCTGTATCATAAGAAAGGTTGAACTCTGTTAGTTGAGGACACACATCACAAAGACGTTTCTGAGAATGCTTCTGTCTAGTTTTTATGTTAAGATATTTCCTTTTTCAACATAGGCCTGAAATCGATCGAAATGTCCACTTCCAGATACTACGGAAAGAGTGTTTCAAACCTGCTCTATTGAAGGGAATATTCAACTCTGTGACTTCAAAGCAAACATCACAAAGAATCTCCCGAGAATGCTGCTGTCTACTTTCTTTATGTATTCCCGTCTCCAACGAAATCCTCAGAGCTATCCGAATATCCATCTGCAGATTCCACATAAAGAGCTTTCCAAAACTGATCTGTAAAGAGAAAGGTTCAACTCTGTTAGTTGAGTACATATATCCCAAAAATGTTTCTTAGAATGCTTTCTGTCTAGTTTTGATGGGAAGACATTTCCTTTTTCACCAAAGGCGTCAAAGTGCTCCAAATGTCCACTTCCAGATACGACAGAAAGAGTGTTTCAAACCTGCTTTAGGAAGGGAAATGTTCAACTCTGTGGCTTGAATGCAGATATCACAAAGCAGTTTCTGAGAGTGCCACTGTCTAGATTTTATATGAAGGTATTCCCGTTTCCAATGAAATCGTTAGAGCTATCCAAATATCCACTTGCAGATTCTATAAAAAGAGTGTTTCCAACGTGCTGTAACAAAAGATAGGTTGTACACTGTTAGTTGAGGACACACATTACAAAGAAGTTTCTGAGAATGCCTCTGTCTAGCTTTTACCTGAAGATATTCCGGTTTCCAGTGAAATCCTTAAAGCTCTCCACATATCCACTAGCAGATACTCCAAAAGAGTCTTTCAAAACTGCTCTGTGAATAGAAACGCTCAACTCTGTTAGCTGACGACATACGTCACAAAGCAGTTTGTGAGAATGCTTCTGTCTAGTTTTTATGGGACGATATTTCCTTTTTCACCATAAGCGTCCAAGCGCTCCAAGTGCCCACATCCAGATACTACAGAAAGTGTGTTTCAAGCCTGCTCTATGAGAGGGAAAGTTCAACTCTGTGACGTGAATGCGGATATCACAAAGCCGTTTCTGAGAATGTTACTGTCTAGGTTGTCTATGAAGATACTCCCGTTTTCAACGAAATCCACAAAGCCATCCAAATATCCACTTGCAGATTCTGCAAAAATCGTGTTTCCAAACTGCTCTGTCATACGAAATGTTCAACTCTGTGAGTTGAGGACACACATCACAAACAAGTTTCTGCGAATGCTTCTGTCTAGTTTGCATGGGAAGATATTTCCTTGTTCACCATAGGCCTGAAAGCGCTCGAAATGTCCAATTCCAGATACTGCAGAAAGAGGGTTTGAAACCTGCTCTATGAAAGGGAACGTTCAACTCTGTGACTTAAACGCAAACATCATAAAGAAGCTTCTGAGAATGCTGCTGTCTACTTTGTATATGTAATCCCGTTTCCAACGTAACCCTCAAAGCTATCCAAATATCCTCCTGCAGATTCCACGAAAAGACGCTTTCAAGCCTGCCCTTAGAAAGGGAATATTCAACTCTCTGATATCAACGCAGATATCACAAAGTAGTTACTGAGAGTGCTTCTGTCTCGGTTTTATATGAAGATATTCCCGTTTCCAACGAAATAGTTAGGGCTATCCATGTATCAACTTGCAAATTCTATAAAAAGAGTGTTTCCAAACTGCTGTATCATAAGAAATGTTGAACTCTGTTAGTTGAGGACACACATCACAAAGACGTTTCTGAGAATGCTTCTGTCTAGTTTTTATGTTAAGGTATTTCCTTTTTCAACATAGGCCTGAAATCGATCGAAATGTCCACTTCCAGATACTACAGAAAGAGTGTTTCAAGCCTGCTCTATTGAAGGGTATATTCAACTCTGTGACTTAAAAGCAAACATCACAAAGAATCTCCTGAGAATGCTGCTGTCTACTTTCTTTATGTATTCCCGTCTCCAACGAAATCCTCAGAGCTATCCGAATATCCATCTGCAGATTCCACATACAGAGCTTTCCAAAACTGATCTATAAAGAGAAAGGTTCAACTCTGTTAGTTGAGTACATATATCCCAAAAATGTTTCTTAGAATGCTTCTGTCTAGTTTTCATGGGAAGACATTTCCTTTTTCACCAAAGGCGTCAAAGTGCTCCAAATGTCCACTTCCAGATACGACAAAAAGAGTGTTTCAAACCTGCTTTAGGAAGGGAAATGTTCAACTCTGTGGCTTGAATGCAGATATCACAAAGCAGTTTCTGAGAGTGCCACTGTCTAGATTTTATATGAAGGTATTCCCGTTTCCAACGAAATCTTTAGAGCTATCCAACTATCCACTTGCAGTTTCTATAAAAAGAGTGTTTCCAACGTGCTGTATCAAAAGATAGGTTGTACACTGTTAGTTGAGGACACACATTACGAAGAAGTTTCTGAGAATGCCTCTGTCTAGATTTTACCTGAAGATATTCCGGTTTCCGGTGAAATCCTTAAAGCTCTCCCAAATATCCACTAGCAGATACTCCAAAAGAGTCTTTCAAAACTGCTCTGTGAATAGAAATGTTCAACTCTGTTAGCTGACGACATACGTCTCAAAGCAGTTTGTGAGAATGCTTCTGTCTAGGTTTTATGGGACGATATTTCCTTTTTCACCATAAGCGTCCAAGAGCTCCAAGTGCCCACATCCAGATACTACAGAAAGTGTGTTTCAAACCTGCTCTATGAAAGGGAATGTTCAACTCTGTGACGTGAATGCGGATATCACAAAGCCGTTTCTGAGAATGTTACTGTCTAGGTTTTCTATGAAGATACTCCCGTTTCCAACGAAATCCACAAAGCCATCCAAATATCCACTTGCAGATTCTACAAAAATCGTGTTTCCAAACTGCTCTGTCAAACCAAATGTTCAACTCTGTGAGTTGAGGACACACATCACAAACAAGTTTCTGCGAATGCTTCTGTCTAGTTTGCATGGGAAGATATTTCCTTGTTCACCATAGGCCAGAAAGTGCTCGAAATGTCCACTTCCAGATACTACAGAGAGAGTGTTTGAAACCTGCCCTATGAAAGTCAGTGTTCAACTGTGTGACTTAAAAGCAAACATCACAAAGAAGCTTCTGAGAATGCTGCTGTCGACTTTGTATGTGTAATCCCGTTTCCAACGAAATCCTCAAAGCTATCCAAATATACTACCGCAGATTCTACAGAAAGACGGTTTCAAACCCGCTCTTAGAAAGGGAATATTCAACTCTGTGATATGAATGCAGATATCACAAAGAAGTTTCTGAGAGTGCTTCTGTCTAGGTTTTATATGAAGATATTCCCGTTTCCAACGAAATAGTTAGGGCTATCCATGTATCAACTTGCAAATTCTATAAAAAGAGTGTTTCCAAACTGCTGTATCATAAGAAAGGTTGAACTCTGTTAGTTGAGGACACACATCACAAAGCCGTTTCTGAGAATGCTTCTGTCTAGTTTTTATGTTAAGGTATTTCCTTTTTCAACATAGGCCTGAAATCGATCGAAATGTCCACTTCCAGATACTACAGAAAGAGTGTTTCAAACCTGCTCTATTGAAGGGAATATTCAACTCTGTGACTTAAAAGCAAACATCACAAAGAATCTCCTGAGAATGCTGCTGTCTACTTTCTTTATGTATTCCCGTCTCCAACGAAATCCTCAGAGCTATCCGAATATCCATCTGCAGATTCCACATAAAGAGCTTTCCAAAACTGATCTGTAAAGAGAAAGGTTCAACTCTGTTAGTTGAGTACATATATCCCAAAAATGTTTCTTAGAATGCTTCTGTCTAGTTTTGATGGGAAGACATTTCCTTTTTCACCAAAGGCGTCAAAGTGCTCCAAATGTCCACTTCCAGATACGACAGAAAGAGTGTTTCAAACCTGCTTTAGGAAGGGAAATGTTCAACTCTGTGGCTTGAATGCAGATATCACAAAGCAGTTTCTGCGAGTGCCACTGTCTAGATTTTATATTAAGGTATTCCCGTTTCCAACGAAATCGTTAGAGCTATCCAACTATCCACTTGCAGATTCTATAAAAAGAGTGTTTCCAACGTGCTGTATCAAAAGATAGGTTGTACACTGTTAGTTGAGGACACACATTACGAAGAAGTTTCTGAGAATGCCTCTGTCTAGATTTTACCTGAAGATATTCCGGTTTCCAATGAAATCCTTAAAGCTCTCCAAATATCCACTAGCAGATACTCCAAAAGAGTCTTTCAAAACTGCTCTGTGAATAGAAATGTTCAACTCTGTTAGTTGAAGACATACGTCACAAAGCAGTTTGTGAGAATGCTTCTGTCTAGTTTTTATGGGAAGATCTGTCCTTTTTCACCATAAGCGTCCAAGCGCTCCAAGTGCCCACATCCAGATACTACAGAAAGTGTGTTTCAAACCTGCTTTATGAAAGGGAATGTTCAACTCTGTGACATGAAGGCAGATATCAGAAAGCAGTTTCTGAGCATGTTACTGTCTAGGTTGTCTGTGAAGATACTCCCGTTTCCAACGAAATCCACAAAGCCACCCAAATATCCACTTGCAGATTCTACAAAAATCGTGTTTCCAAACTGCTCTGTCAAACGAAATGTTCAACTCCGTGAGTTGAGGACACACATCACAATCAAGTTTCTGCGAATGCTTCTGTCTAGTTTGCATGGGAAGATATTTCCTTGTTCACCATAGGCCTGACAGCGCTCGAAATGTCCACTTCCAGATACTGCAGAAAGAGGGTTTGAAACCTGCTCTATGAAAGGGAACGTTCAACTCTGTGACTTGAAAGCAAACATCATAAAGCAGCTTCTGAGAATGCTGCTGTCTGCTTTGTACATGTAATCCCGTTTCCAACGTAACCCTCAAAGCTATCCAAATATCCTCCTGCAGATTCCACGAAAAGACGCTTTCAAGCCTGCCCTTAGAAGGGGAATATTCAACTCTCTGATATCAATGCAGATATCACAAAGTAGTTTCTGAGAGTGCTTCTGTCTAGGTTTTATGTGAAGATATTCCCGTTTCCAACGAAATAGTTAGGGCTATCCATGTATCAACTTGCAAATTCTATAAAAAGAGTGTTTCCCAACTGCTGTATCATAAGAAAGGTTGAACTCTGTTAGTTGAGGACACACATCACAAAGACGTTTCTGAGAATGCTTCTGTCTATTTTTTATGTTACGATATTTCCTTTTTCAACATAGGCCTGAAATCGATCGAAATGTCCACTTCCAGATACTACAGAAAGAGTGTTTCAAACCTGCTCTATTGAAGGGAATATTCAACTCTGTGACTTAAAAGCAAACATCACAAAGAATCTCCCGAGAATGCTGCTGTCTACTTTCTTTATGTATTCCCGTCTCCAACGAAATCCTCAGAGCTATCCGAATATCCATCTGCAGATTCCACATAAAGAGCTTTCCAAAACTGATCTATAAAGAGAAAGGTTCAACTCTGTTAGTTGAGTACATATATCCCAAAAATGTTTCTTAGAATGCTTCTGTCTAGTTTTGATGGGAAGACATTTCCTTTTTCACCAAAGGCGTCAAAGTGCTCCAAATGTCCACTTCCAGATACGACAGAAAGAGTGTTTCAAACCTGCTTTAGGAAGGGAAATGTTCAACTCTGTGGCTTGAATGCAGATATCACAAAGCAGTTTCTGAGAGTGCCACTGTCTAGATTTTATATGAAGGTATTCCCGTTTCCAACGAAATCGTTAGAGCTATCCAAATATCCACTTGCAGATTCTATAAAAAGAGTGTTTCCAACGTGCTGTATCAAAAGATAGGTTGTACACTGTTAGTTGAGGACACACATTACAAAGAAGTTTCTGAGAATGCCTCTGTCTAGATTTTACCTGAAGATATTCCGGTTTCCAGTGAAATCCTTAAAGCTCTCCACATATCCACTAGCAGATACTCCAAAAGAGTCTTTCAAAACTGCTCTGTGAATAGAAATTCTCAACTCTGTTAGCTGACGACATACGTCACAAAGCAGTTTGTGAGAATGCTTCTGTCTAGGTTTTATGGGACGATATTTCCTTTTTCACCATAAGCGTCCAAGAGCTCCAAGTGCCCACATCCAGATACTACAGAAAGGGTGTTTCAAACCTGCTCTATGAAAGGGAATGTTCAACTCTGTGACGTGAATGCGGATATCACAAAGCCGTTTCTGAGAATGTTACTGTCTAGGTTTTCTATGAAGATACTCCCGTTTCCAACGAAATCCACAAAGCCATCCAAATATCCACTTGCAGATTCTACAAAAATCGTGTTTCCAAACTGCTCTGTCAAACGAAATGTTCAACTCTGTGAGTTGAGGACACACATCACAAACAAGTTTCTGCGAATGCTTCTGTCTAGTTTGCATGGGAAGATATTTCCTTGTTCACCATAGGCCTGAAAGCGCTCGAAATGTCCACTTCCAGATACTGCAGAAAGAGGGTTTGAAACCTGCTCTATGAAAGGGAACGTTCAACTGTGTGACTTGAACGCAAACATCATAAAGAAGCTTCTGAGAATGCTGCTGTCTACTTTGTACATGTAATCCCGTTTCCAACGTAACCCTCAAAGCTATCCAAATATCCTCCTGCAGATTCCACGAAAAGACGCTTTCAAGCCTGCCCTTAGAAAGGGAATATTCAACTCTCTGATATCAATGCAGATATCACAAATTAGTTTCTGAGAGTGCTTCTGTCTAGGTTTTATGTGAAGATATTCCCGTTTCCAACGAAATAGTTAGGGCTATCCATGTATCAACTTGCAAATTCTATAAAAAGAGTGTTTCCCAACTGCTGTATCATAAGAAAGGTTGAACTCTGTTAGTTGAGGACACACATCACAAAGACGTTTCTGAGAATGCTTCTGTCTAGTTTTGATGTTAAGGTATTTCCTTTTTCAACATAGGCCTGAAATCGATCGAAATGTCCACTTCCAGATACTACAGAAAGAGTGTTTCAAACCTGCTCTATTGAAGGGAATATTCAACTCTGTGACTTAAAAGCAAACATCACAAAGTATCTCCTGAGAATGCTGCTGTCTACTTTCTTTATGTATTCCCGTCTCCAACGAAATCCTCAGAGCTATCCGAATATCCATCTGCAGATTCCACATAAAGAGCTTTCCAAAACTGATCTATAAAGAGAAAGGTTCAACTCTGTTAGTTGAGTACATATATCCCAAAAATGTTTCTTAGAAAGCTTCTGTCTAGTTTTCATGGGAAGACATTTCCTTTTTCACCAAAGGCGTCAAAGTGCTCCAAATGTCCACTTCCAGATACGACAAAAAGAGTGTTTCAAACCTGCTTTAGGAAGGGAAATGTTCAACTCTGTGGCTTGAATGCAGATATCACAAAGCAGTTTCTGAGAGTGCCACTGTCTAGATTTTATATGAAGGTATTCCCTTTTCCAACGAAATCTTTACAGCTATCCAACTATCCACTTGCAGATTCTATAAAAAGAGTGTTTCCAACGTGCTGTATCAAAAGATAGGTTGTACACTGTTAGTTGAGGACACACATTACGAAGAAGTTTCTGAGAATGCCTCTGTCTAAATTTTACCTGAAGATATTCCGGTTTCCAATGAAATCCTTAAAGCTCTCCAAATATCCACTAGCAGATACTCCAAAAGAGTCTTTCAAAACTGCTCTGTGAATAGAAATGTTCAACTCTGTTTGTTGAAGACATACGTCACAAAGCAGTTTGTGAGAATGCTTCTGTCTAGTTTTTATGGGAAGATATTTCCTTTTTCACCGTAAGCGTCCAAGCGCTCCAAGTGTCCACATCCAGATACTACAGAAAGAGTGTTTCAAACCTGCTCTATGAAAGGGAATGTTCAACTCGGTGACGTGAATGCAGATATCACAAAGCAGTTTCTGAGAATGTTACTGTCTAGGTTGTCTATGAAGATACTCCCGTTTCCAACGAAATCCACAAAGCCATCCAAATATCCACTTGCAGATTCTACAAAAATCGTGTTTCCAAACTGCTCTGTCAAACGAAATGTTCAACTCCGTGAGTTGAGGACACACATCACAAACAAGTTTCTGCGAATGCTTCTGTCTAGTTTGCATGGGAAGATATTTCCTTGTTCACCATGGGCCTGAAAGCGCTCGAAATGTCCACTTCCAGATACTGCAGAAAGAGGGTTTGAAACCTGCTCTATGAAAGGGAACGTTCAACTCTGTGACTTAAACGCAAACATCACAAAGAAGCTTCTGAGAATGCTGCTGTCTACTTTGTATATGTAATCCCGTTTCCAACGTAACCCTCAAAGCTATCCAAATATCCTCCTGCAGATTCCACGAAAAGACGCTTTCAAGCCTGCCCTTAGAAAGGGAATATTCAACTCTCTGATATCAACGCAGATATCACAAAGTAGTTTCTGAGAGAGCTTCTGTCTAGGTTTTATATGAAGATATTCCCGTTTCCAACGAAATAGTTAGGGCTATCCATGTATCAACTTGCAAATTCTATAAAAAGAGTGTTTCCAAACTGCTGTATCATAAGAAAGGTTGAACTCTGTTAGTTGAGGACACACATCACAAAGACGTTTCTGAGAATGCTTCTGTCTAGTTTTGATATTAAGGTATTTCCTTTTTCAACATAGGCCTGAAATCGATCGAAATGTCCACTTCCAGATACTACAGAAAGAGTGTTTCAAACCTGCTCTATTGAAGGGAATATTCAACTCTGTGACTTAAAAGCAAACATCACAAAGAATCTCCTGAGAATGCTGCTGTCTACTTTCTTTATGTATTCCCGTCTCCAACGAAATCCTCAGAGCTATCCGAATATCCATCTGCAGATTCCACATAAAGAGCTTTCCGAAACTGATCTATAAAGAGAAAGGTTCAACTCTGTTAGTTGAGTACATATATCCCAAAAATTTTTCTTAGAATGCTTCTGTCTAGTTTTGACGGGAAGAGATTTCCTTTTTCACCAAAGGCGTCAAAATGCTCCAAATGTCCACTTCCAGATACGACAAAACGAGTGTTTCAAACCTTCTTTAGGAAGGGAATTGTTCAACTCTGTGGCTTGAATGCAGATATCACAAAGCAGTTTCTGAGAGTGCCACTGTCTAGATTTTATATGAAGGGATTCCCGTTTCCAACGAAATCGTTAGAGCTATCCAAATATCCACTTGCAGATTCTATAAAAAGAGTGTTTCCAACGTGCTGTATCAAAAGATAGGTTGTACACTGTTAGTTGAGGACACACATTACAAAGAAGTTTCTGAGAATGCCTCTGTCCAGATTTTACCTGAAGACATTCCGGTTTCCAATGAAATCCTTAAAGCTCTCCAAATATCCACTAGCAGATACTCCAAAAGAGTCTTTCAAAACTGCTCTGTAAATAGAAATATTCAACTCTGTTAGTTGAAGACATACGTCACAAAGCAGTTTGTGAGAATGCTTCTGTCCAGTTTTTATGGGACGATATGTCCTTTTTCACCATAAGCGTCCAAGCGCTCCAAGTGCCCACATCCAGATACTGCAGAAAGTGTGTTTCAAACCTGCTCTATGAAAGGGAATGTTCAACTCTGTGACGTGAATGCAGATATCACAAAGCCGTTTCTGAGAATGTTACTGTCTAGGTTGTCTATGAAGATACTCCCGTTTCCAACGAAATCCACAAAGCCATCCAAATATCCACTTGCAGATTCTACAAAAATCGTGTTTCCAAACTGCTCTGTCAAAAGAAATGTTCAACTCTGTGAGTTGAGGACACACATCACAAACAAGTTTCTGCGAATGCTTCTGTCTAGTTTGCATGGGAAGATATTTCCTTGTTCACCATAGGCCTGAAAGCGCTCGAAATGTCCACTTCCAGATACTGCAGAAAGAGGGTTTGAAACCTGCTCTATGAAAGGGAACGTTCAACTCTGTGACTTAAACGCAAACATCATGACGAAGCTTCTGAGAATGCTGCTGTCTACTTTGTATATGTAATCCCGTTTCCAACGTATCCCTCCAAGCTATCCAAATATCCTCCTGCAGATTCCACGAAAAGACGCTTTCAAGCCTGCCCTTAGAAAGGGAATATTCAACTCTCTGATATCAATGCAGATATCACAAAGTAGTTTCTGAGAGTGCTTCTGCCTAGGTTTTATATGAAGATATTCCCGTTTCCAACGAAATAGTTAGGGCTATCCATGTATCAACTTGCAAATTCTATAAAAAGAGTGTTTCCAAACTGCTGTATCATAAGAAATGTTGAACTCTGTTAGTTGAGGACACACATCACAAAGACGTTTCTGAGAATGCTTCTGTCTAGTTTTTATGTTAAGATATTTCCTTTTTCAACATAGGCCTGAAATTGATCGAAATGGCCACTTCCAGATACTACAGAAAGAGTGTTTCAAACCTGCTCTATTGAAGGGAATATTCAACTCTGTGACTTCAAAGCAAACATCACAAAGGATCTCCCGAGAATGCTGCTGTCTACTTTCTTTATGTATTCCCGTCTCCAACGAAATCCTCAGAGCTATCCGAATATCCATCTGCAGATTCCACATAAAGAGCTTTCCAAAACTGATCTATAAAGAGAAAGGTTCAACTCTGTTAGTTGAGTACATATATCCCAAAAATGTTTCTTAGAATGCTTCTGTCTAGTTTTGATGGGAAGACATTTCCTTTTTCACCAAAGGCGTCAAAGTGCTCCAAATGTCCACTTCCAGATACGACAAAAAGAGTGTTTCAAACCTGCTTTAGGAAGGGAAATGTTCAACTCTGTGGCTTGAATGCAGATATCACAAAGCAGTTTTCTGAGAGTGCCACTGTCTAGATTTTATATGAAGGTATTCCCGTTTCCAAAGAAATCGTTAGAGCTATCCAACTATCCACTTGCAGATTGTATAAAAAGAGTGTTTCCAACGTGCTGTATCAAAAGATAGGTTGTACACTGTTAGTTGAGGACACACATTACAAAGAAGTTTCTGAGAATGCCTCTGTCTAGATTTTACCTGAAGATATTCCGGTTTCCAATGAAATCCTTAAAGCTCTCCAAATATCCACTAGCAGATACTCCAAAAGAGTCTTTCAAAACTGCTCTGTGAATAGAAATGTTCAACTCTGTTAGTTGAAGACATACGTCACAAAGCAGTTTGTGAGAATGCTTCTGTCCAGTTTTTATGGGACGATCTGTCCTTTTTCACCATAAGCGTCCAAGCGCTCCAAGTGCCCACATCCAGATACTACAGAAAGTGTGTTTCAAACCTGCTCTATGAAAGGGAATGTTCAACTCTGTGACGTGAATGCAGATATCACAAAGCAGTTTCTGAGCATGTTACTGTCTAGGTTGTCTATGAAGATACTCCCGTTTCCAACGAAATCCACAAAGCCATCCAAATATCCACTTGCAGATTCTACAAAAATCGTGTTTCCAAACTGCTCTGTCAAACGAAATGTTCAACTCTGTGAGTTGAGGACACACATCACAAACAAGTTTCTGCGAATGCTTCTATCTAGTTTGCTTGGGAAGATATTTCCTTGTTCACCATGGGCCTGAAAGCGCTCGAAATGTCCACTTCCAGATACTGCAGAAAGAGGGTTTGAAACCTGCTCTATGAAAGGGAACGTTCAACTCTGTGACTTAAACGCAAACATCACAAAGAAGCTTCTGAGAATGCTGCTGTCTACTTTGTATATGTAATCCCGTTTCCAACGTAACCCTCAAAGCTATCCAAATATCCTCCTGCAGATTCCACGAAAAGACGCTTTCAAGCCTGCCCTTAGAAAGGGAATATTCAACTCTCTGATATCAATGCAGATATCACAAAGTAGTTTCTGAGAGTGCTTCTGTCTAGGTTTTATATGAAGATATTCCCGTTTCCAACGAAATAGTTAGGGCTATCCATGTATCAACTTGCAAATTCTATAAAAAGAGTGTTTCCAAACTGCTGTATCATAAGAAAGGTTGAACTCTGTTAGTTGAGGACACACATCACAAAGACATTTCTGAGAATGCTTCTGTCTAGTTTTTATGTTAAGATATTTCCTTTTTCAACATAGGTCTGTAATCGATCGAAATGTCCACTTCCAGATACTACAGAAAGAGTGTTTCAAACCTGCTCTATTGAAGGGAATATTCAACTCTGTGACTTAAAAGCAAACATCACAAAGGATCTCTTGAGAATGCTGCTGTCTACTATCTTTATGTATTCCCGTCTCCAACGAAATCCTCAGAGCTATCCGAATATCCATCTGCAGATTCCACATAAAGAGCTTTCCAAAACTGATCTATAAAGAGAAAGGTTCAACTCTGTTAGTTGAGTACATATATCCCAGAAATGTTTCATAGAATGCTTCTGTCTAGTTTTCATGGGAAGACTTTTCATTTTCACCAAAGGCGTCAAAGTGCTCCAAATGTCCACTTCCAGATACGACAAAAAGAGTGTTTCAAACCTGCTTTAGGAAGGGAAATGTTCAACTCTGTGGCTTGAATGCAGATATCACAAAGCAGTTTCTGAGAGTGCCACTGTCTAGATTTTATATGAAGGTATTCCCGTTTCCAACGAAATCGTTAGAGCTATCCAAATATCCACTTGCAGATTCTATAAAAAGAGTGTTTCCAACGTGCTGTATCAAAAGATAGGTTGTACACTGTTAGTTGAGGACACACATTAGGAAGAAGTTTCTGAGAATGCCTCTGTCTAGATTTTACCTGAAGATATTCCGGTTTCCGGTGAAATCCTTAAAGCTCTCCACATATCCACTAGCCGATACTCCAAAAGAGTCTTTCAAAACTGCTCTGTGAATAGAAATGTTCAACTCTGTTAGCTGACGACATACGTCTCAAAGCAGTTTGTGAGAATGCTTCTGTCTAGTTTTTATGGGACGATATTTCCTTTTTCACCATAAGCCTCCAAGCGCTCCAAGTGCCCACATCCAGATACTACAGAAAGGGTGTTTCAAACCTGCTCCGTGAAAGGGAATGTTCAACTCTGTGACGTGAATGCGGATATCACAAAGCCGTTTCTGAGAATGTTACTGTCTAGGTTTTCTATGAAGATACTCCCGTTTCCAACGAAATCCACAAAGCCGTCCAAATATCCACTTGCAGATTCTACAAAAATCGTGTTTCCAAACTGCTCTGTCAAACGAAATGTTCAACTCTGTGAGTTGAGGACACACATCACAAACAAGTTTCTGCGAATGCTTCTGTCTAGTTTGCATGGGAAGATATTTCCTTGTTCACCATAGGCCTGAAAGCGCTCGAAATGTCCACTTCCAGATACTGCAGAAAGAGGGTTTGAAACCTGCTCTATGAAAGGGAACGTTCAACTGTGTGACTTGAATGCAAACATCATAAAGAAGCTTCTGAGAATGCTGCTGTCTGCTTTGTACATGTAATCCCGTTTCCAACGTAACCCTCAAAGCTATCCAAATATCCTCCTGCAGATTCCACGAAAAGACGCTTTCAAGCCTGCCCTTAGAAAGGGAATATTCAACTCTGTGATATCAATGCAGATATCACAAAGTAGTTTCTGAGAGTGCTTCTGTCTAGGTTTTATATGAAGATATTCCCGTTTCCAACGAAATAGTTAGGGCTATCCATGTATCAACTTGCAAATTCTATAAAAAGAGTGTTTCCAAACTGCCGTATCATAAGAAAGGTTGAACTCTGTTAGTTGAGGACACACATCACAACGACGTTTCTGAGAATGCTTCTGTCTAGTTTTTATGTTAAGGTATTTCCTTTTTCAACATAGGCCTGAAATCGATCGAAATGTCCACTTCCAGATACTACAGAAAGAGTGTTTCAAACCTGCTCTATTGAAGGGAATATTCAACTCTGTGACTTAAAAGCAAACATCACAAAGAATCTCCTGAGAATGCTGCTGTCTACTTTCTTTATGTATTCCCGTCTCCAACGAAATCCTCAGAGCTATCCGAATATCCATCTGCAGATTCCACATAAAGAGCTTTCCAAAACTGATCTATAAAGAGAAAGGTTCAACTCTGTTAGTTGAGTACATATATCCCAAAAATGTTTCTTAGAAAGCTTCTGTCTAGTTTTGATGGGAAGACATTTCCTTTTTCACCAAAGGCGTCAAAGTGCTCCAAATGTCCACTTCCAGATACGACAGAAAGAGTGTTTCAAACCTGCTTTAGGAAGGGAAATGTTCAACTCTGTGGCTTGAATGCAGATATCACAAAGCAGTTTCTGAGAGTGCCACTGTCTAGATTTTATATGAAGGTATTCCCGTTTCCAACGAAATCGTTAGAGCTATCCAAATATCCACTTGCAGATTCTATAAAAAGAGTGTTTCCAACGTGCTGTATCAAAAGATAGGTTGTACACTGTTAGTTGAGGACACACATTACAAAGAAGTTTCTGAGAATGCCTCTGTCTAGATTTTACCTGAAGATATTCCGGTTTCCAGTGAAATCCTTAAAGCTCTCCACATATCCACTAGCAGATACTCCAAAAGAGTCTTTCAAAACTGCTCTGTGAATAGAAATGCTCAACTCTGTTAGCTGACGACATACGTCACAAAGCAGTTTGTGAGAATGCTTCTGTCCAGTTTTTATGGGACGATCTGTCCTTTTTCACCATAAGCGTCCAAGCGCTCCAAGTGCCCACATCCAGATACTACAGAAAGTGTGTTTCAAACCTGCTCTATGAAAGGGAATGTTCAACTCTGTGACGTGAATGCAGATATCACAAAGCAGTTTCTGAGCATGTTACTGTCTAGGTTGTCTATGAAGATACTCCCGTTTCCAACGAAATCCACAAAGCCATCCAAATATCCACTTGAAGATTCTACAAAAATCGTGTTTCCGAACTGCTCTGTCAAACGAAATATTCAACTCCGTGAATTGAGGACACACATCAGAAACAAGTTTCTGCGAATGCTTCTGTCTAGTTTGCATGGGAAGATATTTCCTTGTTCACCATAGGCCTGAAAGCGCTCGAAATGTCCACTTCCAGATACTGCAGAAAGTTGGTTTGAAACCTGCTCTATGAAAGGGAACGTTCAACTGTGTGACTTGAACGCAAACATCATAAAGAAGCTTCTGAGAATGCTGCTGTCTGCTTTGTAAATGTAATCCCGTTTCCAACGTAACCCTCAAAGCTATCCAAATATCCTCCTGCAGATTCCACGAAAAGACGCTTTCAAGCCTGCCCTTAGAAAGGGAATATTCAACTCTCTGATATCAATGCAGATATCACAAAGTAGTTTCTGAGAGTGCTTCTGCCTAGGTTTTATATGAAGATATTCCCGTTTCCAACGAAATAGTTAGGGCTATCCATGTATCAACTTGCAAATTCTATAAAAAGAGTGTTTCCAAACTGCTGTATCATAAGAAAGGTTGAACTCTGTTAGTTGAGGACACACATCACAAAGACGTTTCTGAGAATGCTTCTGTCTAGTTTTTATGTTAAGATATTTCCTTTTTCAACATAGGCCTGAAATCGATCGAAATGTCCACTTCCAGATACTACGGAAAGAGTGTTTCAAACCTGCTCTATTGAAAGGAATATTCAACTCTGTGACTGAAAAGCAAACATCACAAAGAATCTCCCGAGAATGCTGCTGTCTACATTCTTTATGTATTCCCGTCTCCAACGAAATCCTCAGAGCTATCCGAATATCCATTTGCAGATTCCACATAAAGAGCTTTCCAAAACTGATCTATAAAGAGAAAGGTTCAACTCTGTTACTTGAGTACATATATCCCAAAAATGTTTCTTAGAATGCTTCTGTCTAGTTTTGATGGGAAGACATTTCCTTTTTCACCAAAGGCGTCAAAGTGCTCCAAATGTCCACTTCCAGATACGACAGAAAGAGTGTTTCAAACCTGCTTTAGGAAGGGAAATGTTCAACTCTGTGGCTTGAATGCAGATATCACAAAGCAGTTTCTGAGAGTGCCACTGTCTATATTTTATATGAAGGTATTCCCGTTTCCAACGAAATCGTTAGAGCTATCCAAATATCCACTTGCAGATTCTATAAAAAGAGTGTTTCCAACGTGCTGTATCAAAAGATAGGTTGTACACTGTTAGTTGAGGACACACATGACAAAGAAGTTTCTGAGAATGCCTCTGTCTAGATTTTACCTGAAGATATTCCGGTTTCCAATGAAATCCTTAAAGCTCTCCAAATATCCACTAGCAGATACTCCAAAAGAGTCTTTCAAAACTGCTCTGTGAATAGAAATGTTCAACTCTGTTAGTTGAAGACATACGTCACAAAGCAGTTTGTGAGAATGCTTCTGTCTAGTTTTTATGGGACGATATTTCCTTTTTCACCATAAGCGTCCAAGCGCTCCAAGTGTCCACATCCAGATACTACAGAAAGTGTGTTTCAAACGTGCTCTATGAAAGGGAATGTTCTACTCTGTGACGTGAATGCAGATATCACAAAGCAGTTTCTGAGAATGTTACTGTCTAGGTTGTCTATGAAGATACTCCCGTTTCCAACGAAATCCACAAAGCCATCCAAATATCCACTTCCCGATTCTACAAAAATCGTGTTTCCAAACTGCTCTGTCAAATGAAATGTTCAACTCCGTGAGTTGAGGACACAGATCACAAACAAGTTTCTGCGAATGCTTCTGTCTAGTTTGCATGGGAAGATATTTCCTTGTTCACCATGGGCCTGAAAGCGCTCGAAATGTCCACTTCCAGATACTGCAGAAAGAGGGTTTGAAACCTGCTCTATGAAAGGGAACGTTCAACTCTGTGACTTAAACGCAAACATCACAAAGAAGCTTCTGAGAATGCTGCTGTCTACTTTGTATATGTAATCCCGTTTCCAAAGTAACCCTCAAAGCTATCCAAATATCCTCCAGCAGATTCCACGAAAAGACGCTTTCAAGCCTTCCCTTAGAAAGGGAATATTCAACTCTCTGATATCAATGCAGATATCACAAAGTAGTTTCTGAGAGTGCTTCTGTCTAGGTTTTATATGAAGATATTCCCGTTTCCAAGGAAATGGTTAGGGCTATCCATGTATCAACTTGCAAATTCTATAAAAAGAGTGTTTCCAAACTGCTGTATCATAAGAAAGGTTGAACACTGTTAGTTGAGGACACACATCACAAAGACGTTTCTGAGAATGCTTCCGTCTAGTTTTTATGTTAAGATATTTCCTTTTTCAACATAGGCCTGAAATCGATCGAAATGGCCACTTCCAGATACTACAGAAAGAGTGTTTCAAACCTGCTCTATTGAAGGGAATATTCAACTCTGTGACTTCAAAGCAAACATCACAAAGAATCTCCCGAGAATGCTGCTGTCTACATTCTTTATGTATTCCCGTCTCCAACGAAATCCTCAGAGCTATCCGAATATCCATTTGCAGATTCCACATAAAGAGCTTTCCAAAACTGATCTATAAAGAGAAAGGTTCAACTCTGTTACTTGAGTACATATATCCCAAAAATGTTTCTTAGAAAGCTTCTGTCTAGTTTTGATGGGAAGACATTTCCTTTTTCACCAAAGGCGTCAAAGTGCTCCAAATGTCCACTTCCAGATACGACAGAAAGAGTGTTTCAAACCTGCTTTAGGAAGGGAAATGTTCAACTCTGTGGCTTGAATGCAGATATCACAGAGCAGTTTCTGAGAGTGCCACTGTCTAGATTTTATATGAAGGTATTCCCGTTTCCAACGAAATCGTTAGAGCTATCCAAATATCCACTTGCAGATTCTATAAAAAGAGTGTTTCCAACGTGCTGTATCAAAAGATAGGTTGTACACTGTTAGTTGAGGACACACATTACAAAGAAGTTTCTGAGAATGCCTCTGTCTAGATTTTACCTGAAGATATTCCGGTTTCCAATGAAATCCTTAAAGCTCTCCAAATATCCACTAGCAGATACTCCAAAAGAGTCTTTCAAAACTGCTCTGTGAATAGAAATGTTCAACTCTGTTAGTTGAAGACATACGTCACAAAGCAGTTTGTGAGAATGCTTCTGTCCAGTTTTTATGGGACGATATGTCCTTTTTCACCATAAGCGTCCAAGCGCTCCAAGTGCCCACATCCAGATACTACAGAAAGTGTGTTTCAAACCTGCTCTATGAAAGGGAATGTTCAACTCTGTGACGTGAATGCAGATATCACAAAACAGTTTCTGAGCATGTTACTGTCTAGGTTGTCTATGAAGATACTCCCGTTTCCAACGAAATCCACAAAGCCATCCAAATATCCACTTGCAGATTCTACAAAAATCGTGTTTCCAAACTGCTCTGTCAAACGAAATGTTCAACTCCGTGAGTTAAGGACACACATCACAAACAAGTTTCTGCGAATGCTTCTGTCTAGTTTGCATGGGAAGATATTTCCTTGTTCACCATGGGCCTGAAAGCGCTCGAAATGTCCACTTCCAGATACTGCAGAAAGAGGGTTTGAAACCTGCTCTATGAAAGGGAACGTTCAACTCTGTGACTTAAACGCAAACATCACAAAGAAGCTTCTGAGAATGCTGCTGTCTGCTTTGTACATGTAATCCCGTTTCCAACGTAACCCTCAAAGCTATCCAAATATCCTCCTGCAGATTCCACGAAAAGACGCTTTCAAGCCTGCCCTTAGAAAGGGAATATTCAACTCTCTGATATCAATGCAGATATCACAAAGTAGTTTCTGAGAGTGCTTCTGTCTAGGTTTTATGTGAAGATATTCCCGTTTCCAATGAAATAGTTAGGGCTATCCATGTATCAGCTTGCAAATTCTATAAAAAGAGTGTTTCCCAACTGCTGTATCATAAGAAAGGTTGAACTCTGTTAGTTGAGGACACACATCACAAAGACGTTTCTGAGAATGCTTCTGTCTAGTTTTTATGTTACGATATTTCCTTTTTCAACATAGGCCTGAAATCGATCGAAATGTCCACTTCCAGATACTACAGAAAGAGTGTTTCAAACCTGCTCTATTGAAGGGAATATTCAACTCTGTGACTTAAAAGCAAACATCACAAAGAATCTCCCGAGAATGCTGCTGTCTACTTTCTTTATGTATTCCCGTCTCCAGCGAAATCCTCAGAGCTATCCGAATATCCACTTGCAGATTCCACATAAAGAGCTTTCCAAAACTGATCTATAAAGAGGAAGGTTCAACTCTGTTAGTTGAGTACATATATCCCAAAAAAGTTTCTTAGAATGCTTCTGTCTAGTTTTCATGGGAAGACATTTCCTTTTTCACCAAAGGCGTCAAAGTGCTCCAAATGTCCACTTCCAGATACGACAAAAAGAGTGTTTCAAACCTGCTTCAGGAAGGGAAATGTTCAACTCTGTGGCTTGAATGCAGATATCACAAAGCAGTTTCTGAGAGTGCCACTGTCTAGATTTTATATGAAGGTATTCCCGTTTCCAACGAAATCGTTAGAGCTATCCAACTATCCACTTGCAGATTCTATAAAAAGAGTGTTTCCAACGTGCTGTATCAAAAGATAGGTTGTACACTGTTAGTTGAGGACACACATTACGAAGAAGTTTCTGAGAATGCCTCTGTCTAGATTTTACCTGAAGATATTCCGGTTTCCAATGAAATCCTTAAAGCTCTCCAAATATCCACTAGCAGATACTCCAAAAGAGTCTTTCAAAACTGCTCTGTGAATAGAAATGTTCAACTCTGTTAGTTGAAGACATACGTCACAAAGCCGTTTGTGAGAATGCTTCTGTCCACTTTTTATGGGACGATATGTCCTTTTTCACCATAAGCGTCCAAGCGCTCCAAGTGCCCACATCCAGATACTACAGAAAGTGTGTTTCAAACCTGCTCTATGAAAGGGAATGTTCAACACTGTGACGTGAATGCAGATATCACAAAGCAGTTTCTGAGAATGTTACTGTTTAGGTTGTCTCTGAAGATACTCCCGTTTCCAACGAAATCCACAAAGCCATCCAAATATACACTTGCAGATTCTACAAAAACCGTGTTTCCAAACTGCTCTGTCAAACGAAATGTTCAACTCTGTGAGTTGAGGACACACATCACAAACAAGTTTCTGCGAATGCTTCTGTCTAGTTTGCTTGGGAAGATATTTCCTTGTTCACCATAGGCCTGAAAGCGCTCGAAATGTCCACTTCCAGATACTGCAGAAAGAGGGTTTGAAACCTGCTCTATGAAAGGGAACGTTCAACTCTGTGACTTAAACGCAAACATCACAAAGAAGCTTCTGAGAATGCTGCTGTCTACTTTGTATATGTAATCCCGTTTCCAACGTAACCCTCAAAGCTATCCAAATATCCTCCTGCAGATTCCACGAAAAGACGCTTTCAAGCCTGCCCTTAGAAAGGGAATATTCAACTCTCTGTTATCAATGCAGATATCACAAAGTAGTTTCTGAGAGTGCTTCTGTCTAGGTTTTATGTGAAGATATTCCCGTTTCCAACGAAATAGTTAGGGCTATCCATGTATCAACTTGCAAATTCTATAAAAAGAGTGTTTCCCAACTGCTGTATCATAAGAAAGGTTGAACTCTGTTAGTTGAGGACACACATCACAAAGACGTTTCTGAGAATGCTTCTGTCTAGTTTTTATGTTAAGATATTTCCTTTTTCAACATAGGCCTGAAATCGATCGAAATGTCCACTTCCAGATACTACAGAAAGAGTGTTTCAAACCTGCTCTATTGAAGGGAATATTCAACTCTGTGACTTCAAAGCAAACATCACAAAGAATCTCCCGAGAATGCTGCTGTCTACTTTCTTTATATATTCCCGTCTCCAACGAAATCCTCAGAGCTATCCGAATATCCATCTGCAGATTCCACATAAAGAGCTTTCCAAAACTGATCTATAAAGAGAAAGGTTCATCTCTCTTAGTTCAGTACATATATCCCAAAAATGTTTCTTTGAATGCTTCTGTCTAGTTTTGATGGGAAGACATTTCCTTTTTCACCAAAGGCGTCAAAGTGCTCCAAATGTCCACTTCCAGATATGACAGAAAGAGTGTTTCAAACCTGCTTTAGGAAGGGAAATTTTCAACTCTGTGGCTTGAATGCAGATATCACAAAGCAGTTTCTGAGAGTGCCACTGTCTAAATTTTATATGAAGGTATTCCCGTTTCCAACGAAATCGTTAGAGCTATCCAACTATCCACTTGCAGATTCTATAAAAAGAGTGTTTCCAACGTGCTGTATCAAAAGATAGGTTGTACACTGTTAGTTGAGGACACACATTACGAAGAAGTTTCTGAGAATGCCTCTGTCTAGATTTTACCTGAAGATATTCCGGTTTCCAATGAAATCCTTAAAGCTCTCCAAATATCCACTAGCAGATACTCCAAAAGAGTCTTTCAAAACTGCTCTGTGAATAGAAATGTTCAACTCTGTTAGTTGAAGACATACGTCACAAAGCAGTTTGTGAGAATGCTTCTGTCTAGTTTTTATGGGACGATATTTCCTTTTTCACCATAAGCGTCCAAGCGCTCCAAGTGCCCACATCCAGATACTACAGAAAGGGTGTTTCAAACCTGCTCTATGAAAGGGAATGTTCAACTCTGTGACCTGAATGCGGATATCACAAAGCCGTTTCTGAGAATGTTACTGTCTAGGTTTTCTATGAAGATACTCCCGTTTCCAACGAAATCCACAAAGCCATCCAAATATCCACTTGCAGATTCTACAAAAATCGTGTTTCCAAACTGCTCTGTCAAACGAAATGTTCAACTCTGTGAGTTGAGGACACACATCACAAACAAGTTTCTGCGAATGCTTCTGTCTAGTTTGCATGGGAAGATATTTCCTTGTTCACCATAGGCCTGAAAGCGCTCGAAATGTCCACTTCCAGATACTGCAGAAAGAGGGTTTCAAACCTGCTCTATGAAAGGGAACGTTCAACTGTGTGACTTGAACGCAAACATCATAAAGAAGCTTCTGAGAATGCTGCTGTCTGCTTTGTACATGTAATCCCGTTTCCAACGTAACCCTCAAAGCTATCCAAATATCCTCCTGCAGATTCCACGAAAAGACGCTTTCAAGCCTGCCCTTAGAAAGGGAATATTCAACTCTCTGATATCAATGCAGATATCACAAAGTAGTTTCTGAGAGTGCTTCTGTCTAGGTTTTATGTGAAGATATTCCCGTTTCCAACGAAATAGTTAGGGCTATCCATGTATCAGCTTGCAAATTCTATAAAAAGGGTGTTTCCCAACTGCTGTATCATAAGAAAGGTTGAACTCTGTTAGTTGAGGACACACATCACAAAGACGTTTCTGAGAATGCTTCTGTCTAGTTTTTATGTTAAGATATTTCCTTTTTCAACATACGCCTGAAATCGATCGAAATGGCCACTTCCAGATACTACAGAAAGAGTGTTTCAAACCTGCTCTATTGAAGGGAATATTCAACTCTGTGACTGAAAAGCAAACATCACAAAGAATCTCCCGAGAATGCTGCTGTCTATTTTCTTTATGTATTCCCGTCTCCAACGAAATCCTCAGAGCTATCCGAATATCCATCTGCAGATTCCACATAAAGAGCTTTCCAAAACTGATCTGTAAAGAGAAAGGTTCAACTCTGTTACTTGAGTACATATATCCCAAAAATGTTTCTTAGAATGCTTCTGTCTAGTTTTGACGGGAAGACATTTCCTTTTTCACCAAAGGCGTCAAAGTGCTCCAAATGTCCACTTCCAGATACGACAAAACGAGTGTTTCAAACCTGCTTTAGGAAAGGAATTGTTCAATTCTGTGGCTTGAATGCAGATATCACAAAGCAGTTTCTGAGAGTGCCACTGTCTAGATTTTATATGAAGGTATTCCCGTTTCCAACGAAATCGTTAGAGCTATCCAAATATCCACTTGCAGATTCTATAAAAAGAGTGTTTCCAACGTGCTGTATCAAAAGATAGGTTGTACACTGTTAGTTGAGGACACACATTACAAAGAAGTTTCTGAGAATGCCTCTGTCTAGATTTTACCTGAAGACATTCCGGTTTCCAGTGAAATCCTTAAAGCTCTCCACATATCCACTAGCAGATACTCCAAAAGAGTCTTTCAAAACTGCTCTGTGAATAGAAACGCTCAACTCTGTTAGCTGACGACATACGTCACAAAGCAGTTTGTGAGAATGCTTCTTTCCAGTTTTTATGGAACGATATGTCCTTTTTCACCATAAGCGTCCAAGCGCTCCAAGTGCCCACATCCAGATACTACAGAAAGTGTGTTTCAAACCTGCTCTATGAAAGGGAATGTTCAACTCTGTGACGTGAATGCAGATATCACAAAGCAGTTTCTGAGCATGTTACTGTCTAGGTTGTCTGTGAAGATACTCCCGTTTCCAACGAAATCCACAAAGCCATCCAAATATCCACTTGCAGATTCTACAAAAATCGTGTTTCCAAACTGCTCTGTCAAACGAAATGTTCAACTCCGTGAGTTGAGGACACACATCACAAACAAGTTTCTGCGAATGCTTCTGTCTAGTTTGCATGGGAAGATATTTCCTTGTTCACCACGGGCCTGAAAGCGCTCGAAATGTCCACTTCCAGATACTGCAGAAAGAGGGTTTGAAACCTGCTCTATGAAAGGGAACGTTCAACTCTGTGACTTAAACGCAAACATCACAAAGAAGCTTCTGAGAATGCTGCTGTCTACTTTGTATATGTAATCCCGTTTCCAACGTAACCCTCAAAGCTATCCAAATATCCTCCAGCAGATTCCACGAAAAGACGCTTTCAAGCCTTCCCTTAGAAAGGGAATATTCAACTCTCTGATATCAATGCAGATATCACAAAGTAGTTTCTGAGAGTGCTTCTGTCTAGGTTTTATATGAAGATATTCCCGTTTCCAACGAAATAGTTAGGGCTATCCATGTATCAACTTGCAAATTCTATAAAAAGAGTGTTTCCAAACTGCTGTATCATAAGAAAGGTTGAACTCTGTTAGTTGAGGACACACATCACAAAGACGTTTCTGAGAATGCTTCTGTCTAGTTTTTATGTTAAGGTATTTCCTTTTTCAACATAGGCCTGAAATCGATCGAAATGTCCAATTCCAGATACTACAGAATGAGTGTTTCAAACCTGCTCTATTGAAGGGAATATTCAACTCTGTGACTTAAAAGCAAACATCACAAAGAATCTCCTGAGAATGCTGCTGTCTACATTCTTTATGTATTCCCGTCTCCAACGAAATCCTCAGAGCTATCCGAATATCCATCTGCAGATTCCACATAAAGAGCTTTCCAAAACTGATCTATAAAGAGAAAGGTTCAACTCTGTTAGTTGAGTACATATATCCCAAAAATGTTTCTTAGAATGCTTCTGTCTAGTTTTCATGGGAAGACATTTCCTTTTTCACCAAAGGCGTCAAAGTGCTCCAAATGTCCACTTCCAGATACGACAAAAAAAGTGTTTCAAACCTGCTTTAGGAAGGGAAATGTTCAACTCTGTGGCTTGAATGAAGATATCACAAAGCAGTTTCTGAGAGTGCCACTGTTTAGATTTTATATGAAGGTATTCCCGTTTCCAACGAAATCGTTAGAGCTATCCAAATATCCACTTGCAGATTCTATAAAAAGAGTGTTTCCAACGTGCTGTATCAAAAGATAGGTTGTACACTGTTAGTTGAGGACACACATTACGAAGAAGTTTCTGAGAATGCCTCTGTCTAGATTTTACCTGAAGACATTCCGGTTTCCACTGAAATCCTTAAAGCTCTCCAAATATCCACTAGCAGATACTCCAAAAGAGTCTTTCAAAACTGCTCTGTAAATAGAAATGTTCAACTCTGTTAGTTGAAGACATACGTCACAAAGCAGTTTGTGAGAATGCTTCTGTCTAGTTTTTATGGGACGATATTTCCTTTTTCACCATAAGCGTCCAAGCGCTCCAAGTGTCCACATCCAGATACTACAGAAAGTGTGTTTCAAACGTGCTCTATGAAAGGGAATGTTCTACTCTGTGACGTGAATGCAGATATCACAAAGCAGTTTCTGAGAATGTTACTGTCTAGGTTTTCTATGAAGATACTCCCGTTTCCAACGAAATCCACAAAGCCATCCAAATATCCACTTGCAGATTCTACAAAAATCGTGTTTCCAAACTGCTCTGTCAAACGAAATGTTCAACTCTGTGAGTTGAGGACACACATCACAAACAAGTTTCTGCGAATGCTTCTGTCTAGTTTGCATGGGAAGATATTTCCTTGTTCACCATAGGCCTGACAGCGCTCGAAATGTCCACTTCCAGATACTGCAGAAAGAGGGTTTGAAACCTGCTCTATGAAAGGGAACGTTCAACTCTGTGACTTGAAAGCAAACATCATAAAGCAGCTTCTGAGAATGCTGCTGTCTGCTTTGTACATGTAATCCCGTTTCCAACGTAACCCTCAAAGCTATCCAAATATCCTCCTGCAGATTCCACGAAAAGACGCTTTCAAGCCTGCCCTTAGAAGGGGAATATTCAACTCTCTGATATCAATGCAGATATCACAAAGTAGTTTCTGAGAGTGCTTCTGCCTAGGTTTTATATGAAGATATTCCCGTTTCCAACGAAATAGTTAGGGCTATCCATGTATCAACTTGCAAATTCTATAAAAAGAGTGTTTCCAAACTGCTGTATCATAAGAAAGGTTGAACTCTGTTAGTTGAGGACACACATCACAAAGACGTTTCTGAGAATGCTTCTGTCTAGTTTTTATGTTAAGGTATTTCCTTTTTCAACATAGGCCTGAAATCGATCGAAATGTCCACTTCCAGATACTACAGAAAGAGTGTTTCAAACCTGCTCTATTGAAGGGAATATTCAACTCTGTGACTTAAAAGCAAACATCACAAAGAATCTCCTGAGAATGCTGCTGTCTACTTTCTTTATGTATTCCCGTCTCCAATGAAATCCTCAGAGCTATCCGAATATCCATCTGCAGATTCCACATAAAGAGCTTTCCAAAACTGATCTATAAAGAGAAAGGTTCAACCCTGTTAGTTGAGTACATATATCCCAAAAATGTTTCTTAGAATGTTTCTGTCTAGTTTTCATGGGAAGACATTTCCTTTTTCACCAAAGGCGTCAAAGTGCTCCAAATGTCCACTTCCAGATACGACAAAAAGAGTGTTTCAAACCTGCTTTAGGAAGGGAAATGTTCAACTCTGTGGCTTGAATGCAGATATCACAAAGCAGTTTCTGAGAGTGCCACTGTCTAGATTTTATATGAAGGTATTCCCGTTTCCAACGAAATCGTTAGAGCTATCCAACTATCCACTTGCAGATTCTATAAAAAGAGTGTTTCCAACGTGCTGTATCAAAAGATAGGTTGTACACTGTTAGTTGAGGACACACATTACAAAGAAGTTTCTGAGAATGCCTCTGTCTAGATTTTACCTGAAGATATTCCGGTTTCCAATGAAATCCTTAAAGCTCTCCAAATATCCACTAGCAGATACTCCAAAAGAGTCCTTCAAAACTGCTCTGTGAATAGAAATGTTCAACTCTGTTATTTGAAGACATACGGTCACAAAGCAGTTTGTGAGAATGATTCTGTCCAGTTTTTATGGGACGATATGTCCTTTTTCACCATAAGCGTCCAAGCGCTCCAAGTGCCCACATCCAGATACTACAGAAAGTGTGTTTCAAACCTGCTCTATGAAAGGGAATGTTCAACTCTGTGACGTGAATGCAGATATCACAAAGCAGTTTCTGAGACTGTTACTGTCTAGGTTGTCTATGAAGATACTCCCGTTTCCAACGAAATCCACAAAGCCATCCAAATATCCACTTGCAGATTCTACAAAAATCGTGTTTCCAAACTGCTCTGTCAAACGAAATGTTCAAATCTGTGAGTTGAGGACACACATCACAAACAAGTTTCTGCGAATGCTTCTGTCTAGTTTGCATGGGAAGATATTTCCTTGTTCACCATGGGCCTGAAAGCGCTCGAAATGTCCACTTCCAGATACTGCAGAAAGAGGGTTTGAAACCTGCTCTATGAAAGGGAACGTTCAACTCTGTGACTTAAACGCAAACATCACAAAGAAGCTTCTGAGAATGCTGCTGTCTGCTTTGTACATGTAATCCCGTTTCCAACGTAACCCTCAAAGCTATCCAAATATCCTCCTGCAGATTCCACGAAAAGACGCTTTCAAGCCTGCCCTTAGAAAGGGAATATTCAACTCTCTGATATCAATGCAGATATCACAAAGTAGTTTCTCAGAGTGCTTCTGTCTAGGTTTTATATGAAGATATTCCCGTTTCCAACGAAATAGTTAGGGCTATCCATGTATCAACTTGCAAATTCTATAAAAAGAGTGTTTCCAAACTGCTGTATCATAAGAAAGGTTGAACTCTGTTAGTTGAGGACACACATCACAAAGACGTTTCTGAGAATGCTTCTGTCTAGTTTTTATGTTAAGATATTTCCTTTTTCAACATAGGCCTGAAATCGATCGAAATGTCCACTTCCAGATACTACGGAAAGAGTGTTTCAAACCTGCTCTATTGAAGGGAATATTCAACTCTGTGACTGAAAAGCAAACATCACAAAGAATCTCCCGAGAATGCTGCTGTCTACTTTCTTTATGTATTCCCGTCTCCAACGAAATCCTCAGAGCTATTCGAATATCCATCTGCAGATTCCACATAAAGAGCTTTCCAAAACTGATCTATAAAGAGAAAGGTTCAACTCTGTTAGTTCAGTACATATATCCCAAAAATGTTTCTTAGAATGCTTCTGTCTAGTTTTCATGGGAAGACATTTCCTTTTTCACCAAAGGCGTCAAAGTGCTCCAAATGTCCACTTCCAGATACGACAAAAAGAGTGTTTCAAACCTGCTTTAGGAAGGGAAATATTCAACTCTGTGGCTTGAATGCAGATATCACAAAGCAGTTTCTGAGAGTGCCACTGTCTAGATTTTTTATGAAGGTATTCCCGTTTCCAACGAAATCGTTAGAGCTATCCAAATATCCACTTGCAGATTCTATAAAAAGAGTGTTTCCAACGTGCTGTATCAAAAGATAGGTTGTACACTGTTAGTTGAGGACACACATTACAAAGAAGTTTCTGAGAATGCCTGTGTCTAGATTTTACCTGAAGATATTCCGGTTTCCGGTGAAATCCTTAAAGCTCTCCACATATCCACTAGCAGATACTCCAAAAGAGTCTTTCAAAACTGCTCTGTGAATAGAAATGCTCAACTCTGTTAGCTGACGACATACGTCACAAAGCAGTTTGTGAGAATGCTTCTGTCCAGTTTTTATGGGACGATATGTCCTTTTTCACCATAAGCGTCCAAGCGCTCCAAGTGCCCACATCCAGATACTACAGAAAGTGTGTTTCAAACCTGCTCTATGAAAGGGAATGTTCAACTCTGTGACGTGAATGCAGATATCACAAAGCAGTTTCTGAGCATGTTACTGTCTAGGTTTTCTATGAAGATACTCCCGTTTCCAACGAAATCCACAAAGCCATCCAAATATCCACTTGCAGATTCTACAAAAATCGTGTTTCCAAACTGCTCTGTCAAACGAAATGTTCAACTCTGTGAGTTGAGGACACACATCACAAACAAGTTTCTGCGAATGCTTCTGTCTAGTTTGCATGGGAAGATATTTCCTTGTTCACCATAGGCCTGAAAGCGCTCGAAATGTCCACTTCCAGATACTGCAGAAAGAGGGATTGAAACCTGCTCTATGAAAGGGAACGTTCAACTCTGTGACTTGAACGCAAACATCATAAAGAAGCTTCTGAGAATGCTGCTGTCTGCTTTGTACATGTAATCCCGTTTCCAACGTAACCCTCAAAGCTATCCAAATATCCTCCTGCAGATTCCACGAAAATACGCTTTCAAGCCTGCCCTTAGAAAGGGAATATTCAACTCTCTGATATCAATGCAGATATCACAAAGTAGTTTCTGAGAGTGCTTCTGTCTAGGTTTTATGTGAAGATATTCCCGTTTCCAACGAAATAGTTAGGGCTATCCATGTATCAACTTGCAAATTCTATAAAAAGAGTGTTTCCCAACTGCTGTATCATAAGAAAGGTTGAACTCTGTTAGTTGAGGACACACATCACAAAGACGTTTCTGAGAATGCTTCTGTCTAGTTTTTATGTTAAGATATTTCCTTTTTCAACATAGGCCTGAAATCGATCGAAATGGCCACTTCCAGATACTACAGAAAGAGTGTTTCAAACCTGCTCTATTGAAGGGAATATTCAACTCTGTGACTGAAAAGCAAACATCACAAAGAATCTCCCGAGAATGCTGCTGTCTATTTTCTTTATGTATTCCCGTCTCCAACGAAATCCTCAGAGCTATCCGAATATCCATCTGCAGATTCCACATAAAGAGCTTTCCAAAACTGATCTGTAAAGAGAAAGGTTCAACTCTGTTACTTGAGTACATATATCCCAAAAATGTTTCTTAGAATGCTTCTGTCTAGTTTTCATGGGAAGACATTTCCTTTTTCACCAAAGGCGTCAAAGTGCTCCAAATGTCCACTTCCAGATACGACAGAAAGAGTGTTTCAAACCTGATTTAGGAAGGGAAATGTTCAACTCTGTGGCTTGAATGCAGATATCACAAAGCAGTTTCTGAGAGTGCCACTGTCTAGATTTTATATGAAGTTATTCCCGTTTCCAACGAAATCGTTAGATCTATCCAACTATCCACTTGCAGATTCTATAAAAAGAGTGTTTCCAACGTGCTGTATCAAAAGATAGGTTGTACACTGTTAGTTGAGGACACACATTACAAAGAAGTTTCTGAGAATGCCTCTGTCTAGATTTTACCTGAAGATATTCCGGTTTCCAGTGAAATCCTTAAAGCTCTCCACATATCCACTAGCAGATCCTCCAAAAGAGTCCTTCAAAACTGCTCTGTGAATAGAAATGCTCAACTCTGTTACCTGACGACATATGTCACAAAGCAGTTTGTGAGAATGCTTCTGTCTAGGTTTTATGGGACGATATTTCCTTTTTCACCATAAGCGTCCAAGAGCTCCAAGTGCCCACATCCAGATACTACAGAAAGGGTGTTTCAAACCTGCTCTATGAAAGGGAATGTTCAACTCTGTGACGTGAATGCGGATATCACAAAGCCGTTTCTGAGAATGTTACTGTCTAGGTTTTCTATGAAGATACTCCCGTTTCCAACGAAATCCACAAAGCCATCCAAATATCCACTTGCAGATTCTACAAAAATCGTGTTTCCAAACTGCTCTGTCAAACGAAATGTTCAACTCTGTGAGTTGAGGACACACATCACAAACAAGTTTCTGCGAATGCTTCTGTCTAGTTTGCATGGGAAGATATTTCCTTGTTCACCACGGGCCTGAAAGCACTCGAAATGTCCACTTCCAGATACTGCAGAAAGAGGGTTTGAAACCTGCTCTATGAAAGGGAACGTTCAACTCTGTGACTTAAACGCAAACATCACAAAGAAGCTTCGGAGAATGCTGCTGTCTGCTTTGTACATGTAATCCCGTTTCCAACGTAACCCTCAAAGCTATCCAAATATCCTCCTGCAGATTCCACGAAAAGACGCTTTCAAGCCTGCCCTTAGAAAGGGAATATTCAACTCTCTGATATCAATGCAGATATCACAAAGTAGTTTCTGAGAGTGCTTCTGTCTAGGTTTTATGTGAAGATATTCCCGTTTCCAACGAAATAGTTAGGGCTATCCATGTATCAGCTTGCAAATTCTATAAAAAGAGTGTTTCCCAACTGCTGTATCATAAGAAAGGTTGAACTCTGTTAGTTGAGGACACACATCACAAAGACGTTTCTGAGAATGCTTCTGTCTAGTTTTTATGTAGAGATATTTCCTTTTTCAACATAGGCCTGAAATGGATCGAAATGGCCACTTCCAGATACTACAGAAAGAGTGTTTCAAACCTGCTCTATTGAAGGGAATATTCAACTCTGTGACTTAAAAGCAACCATCACAAAGGATCTCCCGAGAATGCTGCTGTCTACTTTCTTTATGTATTCCCGTCTCCAACGAAATCCTCAGAGCTATCCGAATATCCATCTGCAGATTCCACATAAAGAGCTTTCCAAAACTGATCTATAAAGAGAAAGGTTCAACTCTTTTAGTTGAGTACATATATCCCAAAAATGTTTCTTAGAATGCTTCTGTCTAGTTTTGATGGGAAGACATTTCCTTTTTCACCAAAGGCGTCAAAGTGCTCCAAATGTCCACTTCCAGATACGACAGAAAGAGTGTTTCAAACCTGCTTTAGGAAGGGAAATGTTCAACTCTGTGACTTGAATGCAGATATCACAAAGCAGTTTCTGCGAGTGCCACTGTCTAGATTTTATATGAAGGTATTCCCGTTTCCAACGAAATCGTTAGAGCTATCCAACTATCCACTTGCAGATTCTATAAAAAGAGTGTTTCCAACGTGCTGTATCAAAAGATAGGTTGTACACTGTTAGTTGAGGACACACATGACGAAGAAGTTTCTGAGAATGCCTCTGTCTAGATTTTACCTGAAGATATTCCGGTTTCCAATGAAATCCTTAAAGCTCTCCAAATATCCACTAGCAGATACTCCAAAAGAGTCTTTCAAAACTGCTCTGTGAATAGAAATGTTCAACTCTGTTAGTTGAAGACATACGTCACAAAGCAGTTTGTGAGAATGCTTCTGTCCAGTTTTTATGGGACGATATGTCCTTTTTCACCACAAGCGTCCAAGCGCTCCAAGTGCCCACATCCAGATACTACAGAAAGTGTGTTTCAAACCTGCTCTATGAAAGGGAATGTTCAACACTGTGACGTGAATGCAGATATCACAAAACAGTTTCTGAGCATGTTACTGTCTAGGTTGTCTATGAAGATACTCCCGTTTCCAACGAAATCCACAAAGCCATCCAAATATCCACTTGCAGATTCTACAAAAATCGTGTTTCCAAACTGCTCTGTCAAACGAAATGTTCAACTCCGTGAGTTGAGGACACACATCACAAACAAGTTTCTGCGAATGCTTCTGTCTAGTTTGCATGGGAAGATATTTCCTTGTTCACCATGGGCCTGAAAGCGCTCGAAATGTCCACTTCCAGATACTGCAGAAAGAGGGTTTGAAACCTGCTCTATGAAAGGGAACGTTCAACTCTGTGACTTAAACGCAAACATCACAAAGAAGCTTCTGAGAATGCTGCTGTCTACTTTGTATATGTAATCCCGTTTCCAACGTAACCCTCCAAGCTATCCAAATATCCTCCTGCAGATTCCACAAAAAGACGCTTTCAAGCCTGCCCTTAGAAAGGGAATATTCAACTCTCTGATATCAATGCAGATATCACAAAGTAGTTTCTGAGAGTGCTTCTGTCTAGGCTTTATATGAAGATATTCCCGTTTCCAACGAAATAGTTAGGGTTATCCATGTATCAACTTGCAAATTCTATAAAAAGAGTGTTTCCAAACTGCTGTATCATAAGAAAGGTTGAACTCTGTTAGTTGAGGACACACATCACAAAGACGTTTCTGAGAATGCTTCTGTCTAGTTTTTATGTTAAGGTATTTCCTTTTTCAACATAGGCCTGAAATCGATCGAAATGTCCACTTCCAGATACTACAGAAAGAGTGTTTCAAACCTGCTCTATTGAAGGGAATATTCAACTCTGTGACTTAAAAGCAAACATCACAAAGAATCTCCTGAGAATGCTGCTGTCTACTTTCTTTATGTATTCCCGTCTCCAACGAAATCCTCAGAGCTATCCGAATATCCATCTGCAGATTCCACATAAAGAGCTTTCCAAAACTGATCTATAAAGAGAAAGGTTCAACTCTGTTAGTTGAGTACATATATCCCAAAAATGTTTCTTAGAATGCTTCTGTCTAGTTTTGATGGGAAGACATTTCCTTTTTCACCAAAGGCGTCAAAGTGCTCCAAATGTCCACTTCCAGATACGACAAAAAGAGTGTTTCAAACCTGCTTTAGGAAGGGAAATGTTCAACTCTGTGGCTTGAATGCAGATATCACAAAGCAGTTTCTGAGAGTGCCACTGTCTAGATTTTATTTGAAGGTATTCCCGTTTCCAACGAAATCTTTAGAGCTATCCAACTATCCACTTGCAGATTCTATAAAAAGAGTGTTTCCAACGTGCTGTATCAAAAGATAGGTTGTACACTGTTAGTTGAGAACACACATTACGAAGAAGTTTCTGAGAATGCCTCTGTCTAGATTTTACCTGAAGATATTCCGGTTTCCAATGAAATCCTTAAAGCTCTCCAAATATCCACTAGCAGATACTCCAAAAGAGTCTTTCAAAACTGCTCTGTGAATAGAAATGTTCAACTCTGTTAGTTGAAGACATACGTCACAAAGCAGTTTGTGAGAATGCTTCTGTCCAGTTTTTATGGGACGATATGTCCTTTTTCACCATAAGCGTCCAAGAGCTCCAAGTGCCCACATCCAGATACTACAGAAAGTGTGTTTCAAACCTGCTCTATGAAAGGGAATGTTCAACTCTGTGACGTGAATGCAGATATCACAAAACAGTTTCTGAGCATGTTACTGTCTAGGTTGTCTGTGAAGATACTCCCGTTTCCAACGAAATCCACAAAGCCATCCAAATATCCACTTGCAGATTCTACAAAAATCGTGTTTCCAAACTGCTCTGTCAAACGAAATGTTCAACTCCGTGAGTTGAGGACACACATCACAAACAAGTTTCTGCGAATGCTTCTGTCTAGTTTGCTTGGGAAGATATTTCCTTGTTCACCATGGGCCTGAAAGCGCTCGAAATGTCCACTTCCAGATACTGCAGAAAGAGGGTTTGAAACCTGCTCTATGAAAGGGAACGTTCAACTCTGTGACTTAAACGCAAACATCACAAAGAAGCTTTCTGAGAATGCTGCTGTCTACTTTGTATATGTAATCTCGTTTCCAACGTAACCCTCAAAGCTATCCAAATATCCTCCTGCAGATTCCACGAAAAGACGCTTTCAAGCCTGCCCTTAGAAAGGGAATATTCAACTCTCTGAAATCAATGCAGATATCACAAAGTAGTTTCTGAGAATGCTTCTGTCTAGGTTTTATATGAAGATATTCCCGTTTCCAACGAAATAGTTAGGGCTATCCATATATCAACTTGCAAATTCTGTAAAATGAGTGTTTCCAAACTGCTGTATCATAAGAAAGGTTGAACTCTGTTAGTTGAGGACACACATCACAAAGACGTTTCTGAGAATGCTTCTGTCTAGTTTTTATGTTAAGGTATTTCCTTTTTCAACATAGGCCTGAAATCGATCGAAATGTCCACTTCCAGATACTACAGAAAGAGTGTTTAAAACCTGCTCTATTGAAGGGAATATTCAACTCTGTGACTTAGAAGCAAACATCACAAAGAATCTCCTGAGAATGCTGCTGTCTACTTTCTTTATGTATTCCCGTCTCCAACGAAATCCTCAGAGCTATCCGAATATCCATCTGCAGATTCCACATAAAGAGCTTTCCAAAACTGATCTGTAAAGAGAAAGGTTCAACTCTGTTAGTTGAGTACATATATCCCAAAAATGTTTCTTAGAAAGCTTCTGTCTAGTTTTGATGGGAAGACATTTCCTTTTTCACCAAAGGCGTCAAAGTGCTCCAAATGTCCACTTCCAGATACGACATAAAGAGTGTTTCAAACCTGCTTTAGGAAGGGAAATGTTCAACTCTGTGGCTTGAATGCAGATATCACAAAGCAGTTTCTGCGAGTGCCACTGTCTAGATTTTATATGTAGGGATTCCCGTTTCCAACGAAATCGTTAGAGCTATCCAAATATCCACTTGCAGATTCTATAAAAAGAGTGTTTCCAACGTGCTGTATCAAAAGATAGGTTGTACACTGTTAGTTGAGGACACACATTACAAAGAAGTTTCTGAGAATGCCTCTGTCTAGATTTTACCTGAAGATATTCCGGTTTCCAATGAAATCCTTAAAGCTCTCCAAATATCCACTAGCAGATACTCCAAAAGAGTCTTTCAAAACTGCTCTGTGAATAGAAATGTTCAACTCTGTTAGTTGAAGACATACGTCACAAAGCAGTTTGTGAGAATGCTTCTGTCCAGTTTTTATGGGACGATATGTCCTTTTTCACCATAAGCGTCCAAGCGCTCCAAGTGCCCACATCCAGATACTACAGAAAGTGTGTTTCAAACCTGCTCTATGAAAGGGAATGTTCAACTCTGTGTCGTGAATGCAGATATCACAAAGCAGTTTCTGAGAATGTTACTGTCTAGGTTGTCTATGAAGATACTCCCGTTTCCAACGAAATCCACAAAGCCATCCAAATATCCACTTGCAGATTCTACAAAAATCGTGTTTCCAAACTGCTCTGTCAAACGAAATGTTCAACTCTGTGAGTTGAGGACACACATCACAAACAAGTTTCTGCGAATGATTCTGTCTAGTTTGCTTGGGAAGATATTTCCTTGTTCACCATAGGCCTGAAAGCGCTCGAAATGTCCACTTCCAGATACTGCAGAAAGAGGGTTTGAAACCTGCTCTATGAAAGGGAACGTTCAACTCTGTGACTTAAACGCAAACATCACAAAGAAGCTTCTGAGAATGCTGCTGTCTACTTTGTATATGTAATCCCGTTTCCAACATAACCCTCAAAGCTATCCAAATATCCTCCTGCAGATTCCACGAAAAGACGCTTTCAAGCCTTCCCTTAGAAAGGGAATATTCAACTCT
Organism: Homo sapiens; assembly: GCF_000001405.40. Taxonomy (NCBI): domain Eukaryota; kingdom Metazoa; phylum Chordata; class Mammalia; order Primates; family Hominidae; genus Homo; species Homo sapiens. The sequence continues at coordinate 15,608,717 of NC_000018.10, read as the reverse complement.
CTGATATCAATGCAGATATCACAAAGTAGTTTCTGAGAGTGCTTCTGGCTAGGTTTTATATGAAGATATTCCCGTTTCCAAGGAAATGGTTAGGGCTATCCATGTATCAACTTGCAAATTCTATAAAAAGAGTGTTTCCAAACTGCTGTATCATAAGAAAGGTTGAACACTGTTAGTTGAGGACACACATCACAAAGACGTTTCTGAGAATGCTTCTGTCTAATTTTTATGTTAAGATATTTCCTTTTTCAACATAGGACTGTAATCGATCGAAATGTTCACTTCCAGATACTAGAGAAAGAGTGTTTCAAACCTGCTCTATTGAAGGGAATATTCAACTCTGTGACTTAAAAGCAAACATCACAAAGAATCTCCTGAGAATGCTGCTGTCTACTTTCTTTATGTATTCCCGTCTCCAACGAAATCCTCAGAGCTATCCGAATATCCATTTGCAGTTTCCACATAAAGAGCTTTCCAAAACTGATCTATAAAGAGAAAGGTTCAACTCTGTTAGTTGAGTACATATATCCCAAAAATGTTTCTTAGAATGCTTCTGTCTAGTTTTCATGGGAAGACATTTCCTTTTTCACCAAAGGCGCCAAAGTGCTCCAAATGTCCACTTCCAGATACGACAAAAAGAGTGTTTCAAACCTGCTTTAGGAAGGGAAATGTTCAACTCTGTGGCTTGAATGCAGATATCACAAAGCAGTTTCTGAGAGTGCCACTGTCTAGATTGTATATGAAGGTATTCCCGTTTCCAACGAAATCGTTAGAGCTATCCAACTATCCACTTGCAGATTCTATAAAAAGAGTGTTTCCAACGTGCTGTATCAAAAGATAGGTTGTACACTGTTAGTTGAGGACACACATTACGAAGAAGTTTCTGAGAATGCCTCTGTCTAGCATTTTACCTGAAGACATTCCGGTTTCCACTGAAATCCTTAAAGCTCTCCAAATATCCACTAGCAGATACTCCAAAAGAGTCTTTCAAAACTGCTCTGTAAATAGAAATGTTCAACTCTGTTAGTTGAAGACATACGTCACAAAGCAGTTTGTGAGAATGCTTCTGTCCAGTTTTTAATGGAACGATATGTCCTTTTTCACCATAAGCGTCCAAGAGCTCCAAGTGCCCACATCCAGATACTTCAGAAAGGGTGTTTCAAACCTGCTCTATGAAAGGGAATGTTCAACTCTGTGACGTGAATGCAGATATCACAAAACAGTTTCTGAGCATGTTACTGTCTAGGTTTTCTATGAAGATACTCCCGTTTCCAACGAAATCCACAAAGCCATCCAAATATCCACTTGCAGATTCTACAAAAATCGTGTTTCCAAACTGCTCTGTCAAACGAAATGTTCAACTCTGTGAGTTGAGGACACACATCACAAACAAGTTTCTGCGAATGCTTCTGTCTAGTTTGCATGGGAAGATATTTCCTTGTTCACCATAGGCCTGAAAGCGCTCGAAATGTCCACTTCCAGATACTGCAGAAAGAGGGTTTGAAACCTGCTCTATGAAAGGGAACGTTCAACTCTGTGACTTGAACGCAAACATCATAAAGAAGCTTCTGAGAATGCTGCTGTCTGCTTTGTACATGTAATCCCGTTTCCAACGTAACCCTCAAAGCTATCCAAATATCCTCCTGCAGATTCCACGAAAAGACGCTTTCAAGCCTGCCCTTAGAAAGGGAATATTCAACTCTCTGATATCAATGCAGATATCACAAAGTAGTTTCTCAGAGTGCTTCTGCCTAGGTTTTATATGAAGATATTCCCGTTTCCAACGAAATAGTTAGGGCTATCCATGTATCAACTTGCAAATTCTATAAAAAGAGTGTTTCCAAACTGCTGTATCATAAGAAAGGTTGAACTCTGTTAGTTGAGGACACACATCACAAAGACGTTTCTGAGAATGCTTCTGTCTAGTTTTTATGTTAAGGTATTTCCTTTTTCAACATAGGCCTGAAATCGATCGAAATGTCCACTTCCAGATACTACAGAAAGAGTGTTTCAAGCCTGCTCTATTGAAGGGAATATTCAACTCTGTGACTTAAAAGCAAACATCACAAAGAATCTCCTGAGAATGCTGCTGTCTACTTTCTTTATGTATTCCCGTCTCCAACGAAATCCTCAGAGCTATCCGAATATCCATCTGCAGATTCCACATAAAGAGCTTTCCAAAACTGATCTATAAAGAGAAAGGTTCAACTCTGTTAGTTGAGTACCTATATCCCAAAAATGTTTCTTAGAATGCTTCTGTCTAGTTTTGATGGGAAGACATTTCCTTTTTCACCAAAGGCGTCAAAGTGCTCCAAATGTCCACTTCCAGATACAACAAAAAGAGTGTTTCAAACCTGCTTTAAGAAGGGAAATGTTCAACTCTGTGGCTTGAATGCAGATATCACAAAGCAGTTTCTGAGAGTGCCACTGTCTAGATTTTATATGAAGGTCTTCCCGTTTCCAACGAAATCGTTGGAGCTATCCAACTATCCACTTGCAGATTCTATAAAAAGAGTGTTTCCAACGTGCTGTATCAAAAGATAGGTTGTACACTGTTAGTTGAGGACACACATTACAAAGAAGTTTCTGAGAATGCCTCTGTCTAGATTTTACCTGAAGATATTCCGGTTTCCAATGAAATCCTTAAAGCTCTCCAAATATCCACTAGCAGATACTCCAAAAGAGTCTTTCAAAACTGCTCTGTGAATAGAAATGTTCAACTCTGTTAGTTGAAGACATACGTCACAAAGCAGTTTGTGAGAATGCTTCTGTCCAGTTTTTATGGGACGATCTGTCCTTTTTCACCATAAGCGTCCAAGTGCTCCAAGTGCCCACATCCAGATACTACAGAAAGTGTGTTTCAAACCTGCTCTATGAAAGGGAATGTTCAACTCTGTGACGTGAATGCAGATATCACAAAGCAGTTTCTGAGCATGTTACTGTCTAGGTTGTCTATGAAGATACTCCCGTTTCCAACGAAATCCACAAAGCCATCCAAATATCCACTAGCAGATTCTACAAAAATCGTGTTTCCAAACTGCTCTGTCAAACGAAATGTTCAACTCCGTGAGTTGAGGACACACATCACAAACAAGTTTCTGCGAATGCTTCTGTCTAGTTTGCATGGGAAGATATTTCCTTGTTCACCATGGGCCTGAAAGCGCTCGAAATGTCCACTTCCAGATACTGCAGAAAGAGGGTTTGAAACCTGCTCTATGAAAGGGAACGTTCAACTCTGTGACTTAAACGCAAATATCACAAAGAAGCTTCTGAGAATGCTGCTGTCTACTTTGTATATGTAATCCCGTTTCCAACGTAACCCTCAAAGCTATCCAAATATCCTCCCGCAGATTCCACGAAAAGACGCTTTCAAGCCTGCCCTTAGAAAGGGAATATTCAACTCTCTGATATCAATGCAGATATCACAAAGTAGTTTCTGAGAGTGCTTCTGTCTAGGTTTTATGTGAAGATATTCCCGTTTCCAACGAAATAGTTAGGGCTATCCATGTATCAACTTGCAAATTCTATAAAAAGAGTGTTTCCCAACTGCTGTATCATAAGAAAGGTTGAACTCTGTTAGTTGAGGACACACATCACAAAGACGTTTCTGAGAATGCTTCTGTCTAGTTTTTATGTTAAGATATTTCCTTTATCAACATAGGCCTGAAATCGATCGAAATGGCCACTTCCAGATACTACAGAAAGAGTGTTTCAAACCTGCTCTATTGAAGGGAATATTCAACTCTGTGACTTAAAAGCAAACATCACAAAGAATCTCCCGAGAATGCTGCTGTCTACTTTCTTTATGTATTCCCGTCTCCAACGAAATCCTCAGAGCTATCCGAATATCCATTTGCAGATTCCACATAAAGAGCTTTCCAAAACTGATCTATAAAGAGAAAGGTTCAACTCTGTTAGTTCAGTACATATATCCCAAAAATGTTTCTTAGAATGCTTCTGTCTAGTTTTGATGGGAAGACCTTTCTTTTTTCACCAAAGGCATGAAAGTGCTCCAAATGTCCACTTCCAGATACGACAAAAAGAGTGTTTCAAACCTGCTTTAGGAAGGGAAATGTTCAACTCTGTGGCTTGAATGCAGATATCACAAAGCAGTTTCTGAGAGTGCCACTGTCTAGATTTTATATGAAGATATTCCCGTTTCCAACGAAATCGTTAGAGCTATCCAACTATCCGCTTGCAGATTCTATAAAAAGAGTGTTTCCAACGTGCTGTATCAAAAGATAGGTTGTACACTGTTAGTTGAGGGCACACATTACGAAGAAGTTTCTGAGAATGCCTCTGTCTAGATTTTACCTGAAGATATTCCGGTTTCCAATGAAATCCTTAAAGCTCTCCAAATATCCACTAGCAGATACTCCAAAAGAGTCTTTCAAAACTGCTCTGTGAATAGAAATGTTCAACTCTGTTAGTTGAAGACATACGTCACAAAGCAGTTTGTGAGAATGCTTCTGTCCAGTTTTTATGGGACGATATGTCCTTTTTCACCATAAGCGTCCAAGCGCTCCAAGTGCCCACATCCAGATACTACAGAAAGTGTGTTTCAAACCTGCTCTATGAAACGGAATGTTCAACTCTGTGACGTGAATGCAGATATCACAAAGCAGTTTCTGAGCATGTTACACTGTCTAGGTTGTCTATGAAGATACTCCCGTTTCCAACGAAATCCACAAAGCCATCCAAATATCCACTTGCAGATTCTACAAAAATCGTGTTTCCAAACTGCTCTGTCAAACGAAATGTTCAACTCTGTGAGTTGAGGACACACATCACAAACAAGTTTCTGCGAATGCTTCTGTCTAGTTTGCATGGGAAGATATTTCCTTGTTCACCATAGTCCAGAAAGCACTCGAAATGTCCACTTCCAGATACTGCAGAAAGAGGGTTTGAAACCTGCTCTGTGAAAGGGAACGTTCAACTGTGTGACTTAAACGCAAACATCATAAAGAAGCTTCTGAGAATGCTGCTGTCTGCTTTGTACATGTAATCCCGTTTCCAACGTAACCCTCAAAGCTATCCAAATATCCTCCTGCAGATTCCACGAAAAGACGCTTTCAAGCCTGCCCTTAGAAAGGGAATATTCAACTCTCTGATATCAATGCAGATATCACAAAGTAGTTTCTGAGAGTGCTTCTGCCTAGGTTTTATATGAAGATATTCCCGTTTCCAACGAAATAGTTAGGGCTATCCATGTATCAACTTGCAAATTCTATAAAAAGAGTGTTTCCAAACTGCTGTATCATAAGAAAGGTTGAACTCTGTTAGTTGAGGACACACATCACAAAGACGTTTCTGAGAATGCTTCTGTCTAGTTTTTATGTAGAGATATTTCCTTTTTCAACATAGGCCTGAAATCGATCGAAATGGCCACTTCCAGATACTACAGAAAGAGTGTTTCAAACCTGCTCTATTGAAGGGAATATTCAACTCTGTGACTTCAAAGCAAACATCACAAAGAATCTCCCGAGAATGCTGCTGTCTAGATTGTTTATGTATTCCCGTCTCCAACGAAATCCTCAGAGCTATCCGAATATCCATCTGCAGATTCCACATAAAGAGCTTTCCAAAACTGATCTATAAAGAGAAAGCTTCAACTCTGTTAGTTGAGTACATATATCCCAAAAATGTTTCTTAGAATGCTTCTGTCTAGTTTTGATGGGAAGACATTTCCTTTTTCACCAAAGGCGTCAAAGTGCTCCAAATGTCCACTTCCAGATACGACAGAAAGAGTGTTTCAAACCTGCTTTAGGAAGGGAAATGTTCAACTCTGTGGCTTGAATGCAGATATCACAAAGCAGTTTCTGCGAGTGCCACTGTCTAGATTTTATATGAAGGTATTCCCGTTTCCAACGAAATCGTTAGAGCTATCCAAATATCCACTTGCAGATTCTATAAAAAGAGTGTTTCCAACGTGCTGTATCAAAAGATAGGTTGTACACTGTTAGTTGAGGACACACATTACAAAGAAGTTTCTGAGAATGCCTCTGTCTAGATTTTACCTGAAGATATTCCGGTTTCCAATGAAATCCTTAAAGCTCTCCAAATATCCACTAGCAGATACTCCAAAAGAGTCTTTCAAAACTGCTCTGTGAATAGAAATGTTCAACTCTGTTAGTTGAAGACATACGTCACAAAGCAGTTTGTGAGAATGCTTCTGTCCAGTTTTTATGGGACGATATGTCCTTTTTCACCATAAGCGTCCAAGCGCTCCAAGTGCCCACATCCAGATACTACAGAAAGTGTGTTTCAAACCTGCTCTATGAAAGGGAATGTTCAACTCTGTGACGTGAATGCAGATATCACAAAGCAGTTTCTGAGCATGTTACTGTCTAGGTTTTCTATGAAGATACTCCCGTTTCCAACGAAATCCACAAAGCCATCCAAATATCCACTTGCAGATTCTACAAAAATCGTGTTTCCAAACTGCTCTGTCAAACGAAATGTTCAACTCTGTGAGTTGAGGACACACATCACAAACAAGTTTCTGCGAATGCTTCTGTCTAGTTTGCATGGGAAGATATTTCCTTGTTCACCATAGGCCTGAAAGCGCTCGAAATGTCCACTTCCAGATACTGCAGAAAGAGGGTTTGAAACCTGCTCTATGAAAGGGAACGTTCAACTCTGTGACTTAAATGCAAACATCATGACGAAGCTTCTGAGAATGCTGCTGTCTACTTTGTATATGTAATCCCGTTTCCAACGTAATCCTCAAAGCTATCCAAATATCCTCCTGCAGATTCCACGAAAAGACGCTTTCAAACCTGCCCTTAGAAAGGGAATATTCAACTCTCTGATATCAATGCAGATATCACAAAGTAGTTTCTGAGAGTGTTTCTGCCTAGGTTTTATATGAAGATATTCCCGTTTCCAACGAAATAGTTAGGGCTATCCATGTATCAACTTGCAAATTCTATAAAAAGAGTGTTTCCAAACTGCTGTATCATAAGAAAGGTTGAACTCTGTTAGTTGAGGACACACATCACAAAGACGTTTCTGAGAATGCTTCTGTCTAATTTTTATGTTAAGATATTTCCTTTTTCAACATAGGCCTGTAATCGATCGAAATGTTCACTTCCAGATACTAGAGAAAGAGTGTTTCAAACCTGCTCTATTGAAGGGAATATTCAACTCTGTGACTTAAAAGCAAACATCACAAAGAATCTCCTGAGAATGCTGCTGTCTACTTTCTTTATGTATTCCCGTCTCCAACGAAATCCTCAGAGCTATCCGAATATCCATCTGCAGATTCCACATAAAGAGCTTTCCAAAACTGATCTATAAAGAGAAAGGTTCAACTCTGTTAGTTGAGTACATATATCCCAAAAATGTTTCTTAGAATGCTTCTGTCTAGTTTTGATGGGAAGACATTTCCTTTTTCACAAAAGGCGTCAAAGTGCTCCAAATGTCCACTTCCAGATACGACAGAAAGAGTGTTTCAAACCTGCTTTAGGAAGGGAAATGTTCAACTCTGTGGCTTGAATGCAGATATCACAAAGCAGTTTCTGAGAGTGCCACTGTCTAGATTTTATATGAAGGTATTCCCGTTTCCAACGAAATCGTTAGAGCTATCCAACTATCCACTTGCAGATTCTATAAAAAGAGTGTTTCCAACGTGCTGTATCAAAAGATAGGTTGTACAATGTTAGTTGAGGACACACATTACGAAGAAGTTTCTGAGAATGCCTCTGTCTAGATTTTACCTGAAGATATTCCGGTTTCCAGTGAAATCCTTAAAGCTCTCCACATATCCACTAGCAGATACTCCAAAAGAGTCTTTCAAAACTGCTCTGTGAATAGAAATGCTCAACTCTGTTAGCTGACGACATACGTCACAAAGCAGTTTGTGAGAATGCTTCTGTCCAGTTTTTATGGACGATATGTCCTTTTTCACCATAAGCGTCCAAGCGCTCCAAGTGCCCACATCCAGATACTACAGAAAGTGTGTTTCAAACCTGCTCTATGAAAGGGAATGTTCAACTCTGTGACGTAAATGCAGATATCACAAAACAGTTTCTGAGCATGTTACTGTCTAGGTTTTCTATGAAGATACTCCCGTTTCCAACGAAATCCACAAAGCCATCCAAATATCCACTTGCAGATTCTACAAAAATCGTGTCTCCAAACTGCTCTGTCAAACGAAATGTTCAACTCTGTGAGTTGAGGACACACATCACAAACAAGTTTCTGCGAATGCTTCTGTCTAGTTTGCATGGGAAGATATTTCCTTGTTCACCATAGGCCTGACAGCGCTCGAAATGTCCACTTCCAGATACTGCAGAAAGAGGGTTTGAAACCTGCTCTATGAAAGGGAACGTTCAACTCTGTGACTTGATAGCAAACATCATAAAGCAGCTTCTGAGAATGCTGCTGTCTGCTTTGTACATGTAATCCCGTTTCCAACGTAACCCTCAAAGCTATCCAAATACCCTCCTGCAGATTCCACGAAAAGACGCTTTCAAGCCTGCCCTTAGAAGGGGAATATTCAACTCTCTGATATCAATGCAGATATCACAAAGTAGTTTCTGAGAGTGCTTCTGTCTAGGTTTTATGTGAAGATATTCCCGTTTCCAACGAAATAGTTAGGGCTATCCATGTATCAACTTGCAAATTCTATAAAAAGAGTGTTTCCCAACTGCTGTATCATAAGAAAGGTTGAACTCTGTTAGTTGAGGACACACATCACAAAGACGTTTCTGAGAATGCTTCTGTCTAGTTTTTATGTTAAGATATTTCCTTTTTCAACATAGGCCTGAAATCGATCGAAATGTCCACTTCCAGATACTACGGAAAGAGTGTTTCAAACCTGCTCTATTGAAGGGAATATTCAACTCTGTGACTTCAAAGCAAACATCACAAAGAATCTCCCGAGAATGCTGCTGTCTACTTTCTTTATGTATTCCCGTCTCCAACGAAATCCTCAGAGCTATCCGAATATCCATCTGCAGATTCCACATAAAGAGCTTTCCAAAACTGATCTATAAAGAGAAATGTTCAACTCTGTTAGTTGAGTACATATATCCCAAAAATGTTTCTTAGAATGTTTCTGTCTAGTTTTGATGGGAAGACATTTCCTTTTTCACCAAAGGCGTCAAAGTGCTCCAAATGTCCACTTCCAGATACGACAGAAAGAGTGTTTCAAACCTGCTTTAGGAAGGGAAATGTTCAACTCTGTGGCTTGAATGCAGATATCACAAAGCAGTTTCTGCGAGTGCCACTGTCTAGATTTTATATGAAGGTATTCCCGTTTCCAACGAAATCGTTAGAGCTATCCAAATATCCACTTGCAGATTCTATAAAAAGAGTGTTTCCAACGTGCTGTATCAAAAGATAGGTTGTACACTGTTAGTTGAGGACACACATTACAAAGAAGTTTCTGAGAATGCCTCTGTCTAGATTTTACCTGAAGATATTCCGGTTTCCGGTGAAATCCTTAAAGCTCTCCAAATATCCACTAGCAGATACTCCAAAAGAGTCTTTCAAAACTGCTCTGTGAATAGAAATGTTCAACTCTGTTAGCTGACGACATACGTCTCAAAGCAGTTTGTGAGAATGCTTCTGTCTAGTTTTTATGGGACGATATTTCCTTTTTCACCATAAGCGTCCAAGCGCTCCAAGTGCCCACATCCAGATACTACAGAAAGTGTGTTTCAAACCTGCTCTATGAAAGGGAATGTTCAACTCTGTGACGTGAATGCGGATATCACAAAGCAGTTTCTGAGAATGTTTCTGTCTAGGTTTTCTATGAAGATACTCCCGTTTCCAACGAAATCCACAAAGCTATCCGAATATCCACTTGTAGATTCTACAAAAATCGTGTTTCCAAACTGCTCTGTCAAACAAAATGTTCATCTCTGTGAGTTGAGGACACACATCACAAACAAGTTTCTGCGAATGCTTCTGTCTAGTTTGCATGGGAAGATATTTCCTTGTTCACCATAAGCCTGAAAGCGCTCGAAATGTCCACTTCCAGATACTGCAGAAAGAGGGTTTGAAACCTGCCCTATGAAAGGGAATCTTCAACTCTGTGACTTAAAAGCAAACATCACAAAGATGTTTCTGCGAATGCTGCTGTCTACTTTGTATATGTAATTCCGTTTCCAACGAAATCCTCAAAGCTATCCAAATATCCTCCTGCAGATTCCACGAAAAGACGCTTTCAAGCCTGCCCTTAGAAAGGGAATATTCAACTCTGTGATATGAATGCAGATATCACAAAGTAGTTTCTGAGAGTGCTTCTGTCTAGGCTTTATATGAAGATATTCCCGTTTCCAACGAAATAGTTAGGGCTATCCATGTATCAACTTGCAAATTCTATAAAAAGAGTGTTTCCAAACTGCTGTATCATAAGAAAGGTTGAACTCTGTTAGTTGAGGACACACATCACAAAGACGTTTCTGAGAATGCTTCTGTCTAGTTTTTATGTTAAGGTATTTCCTTTTTCAACATAGGCGTGAAATCGATCGAAATGTCCACTTCCAGATACTACAGAAAGAGTGTTTCAAACCTGCTCTATTGAAGGGAATATTCAACTCTGTGACTTAGAAGCAAACATCACAAAGTATCTCCTGAGAATGCTGCTGTCTACTTTCTTTATGCATTCCCGTCTCCAAAGAAATCCTCAGAGCTATCCGAATATCCATCTGCAGATTCCACATAAAGAGCTTTCCAAAACTGATCTATAAAGAGAAAGGTTCAACTCTGTTAGTTGAGTACATATATCCCAAAAATGTTTCTTAGAATGCTTCTGTCTAGTTTTGACGGGAAGACATTTCCTTTTTCACCAAAGGTGTCAAAGTGCTCCAAATGTCCACTTCCAGATACGACAAAACGAGTGTTTCAAACCTGCTTTAGGAAGGGAAATGTTCAACTCTGTGGCTTGAATGCAGATATCACAAAGCAGTTTCTGAGAGTGCCACTGTCTAGATTTTTTATGAAGGTATTCCCGTTTCCAACGAAATCGTTAGAGCTATCCAAATATCCACTTGCAGATTCTATAAAAAGAGTGTTTCCAACGTGCTGTATCAAAAGATAGGTTGTACACTGTTAGTTGAGGACACACATTACAAAGAAGTTTCTGAGAATGCCTCTGTCTAGATTTTACCTGAAGATATTCCGGTTTCCAATGAAATCCTTAAAGCTCTCCAAATATCCACTAGCAGATACTCCAAAAGAGTCTTTCAAAACTGCTCTGTGAATAGAAATGTTCAACTCTGTTAGTTGAAGACATACGTCACAAAGCAGTTTGTGAGAATGCTTCTGTCTAGGTTTTATGGGACGATATTTCCTTTTTCACCATAAGCGTCCAAGAGCTCCAAGTGCCCACATCCAGATACTTCAGAAAGGGTGTTTCAAACCTGCTCTATGAAAGGGAATGTTCAACTCTGTGACGTGAATGCGGATATCACAAAGCCGTTTCTGAGAATGTTACTGTCTAGGTTGTCTATGAAGATACTCCCGTTTCCAACGAAATCCACAAAGCCATCCAAATATCCACTTGCAGATTCTACAAGAATCGTGTTTCCAAACTGCTCTGTCAAACGAAATGTTCAACTCTGTGAGTTGAGGACACACATCACAAACAAGTTTCTGCGAATGCTTCTGTCTAGTTTGCATGGGAAGATATTTCCTTGTTCACCATAGGCCTGAAAGCGCTCGAAATGTCCACTTCCAGATACTGCAGAAAGAGGGTTTGAAACCTGCTCTATGAAAGGGAACGTTCAACTCTGTGACTTAAACGCAAACATCATAAAGAAGCTTCTGAGAATGCTGCTGTCTACTTGGTATATGTAATCCCGTTTCCAACGTAACCCTCAAAGCTATCCAAATATCCTCCTGCAGATTCCACGAAAACACTCTTTCAAGCCTGCCCTTAGAAAGGGAATATTCAACTCTCTGATATCAACGCAGATATCACAAAGTAGTTTCTGAGAGTGCTTCTGTCTCGGTTTTCTATGAAGATATTCCCGTTTCCAACGAAATAGTTAGGGCTATCCATGTATCAACTTGCAAATTCTATAAAAAGAGTGTTTCCAAACTGCTGTATCATAAGAAAGGTTGAACTCTGTTAGTTGAGGACACACATCACAAAGACGTTTCTGAGAATGCTTCTGTCTAGTTTTTATGTTACGATATTTCCTTTTTCAACATAGCCCTGAAATCGATCGAAGTGTCCACTTTCAGATACTACAGAAAGAGTGTTTCAAATCTGCTCTATTGAAGGGAATATTCAACTCTGTGACTTAAAAGCAAACATCACAAAGAATCTCCCGAGAATGCTGCTGTCTACTTTCTTTATGTATTCCCGTCTCCAACGAAATCCTCAGAGCTATCCGAATATCCATCTGCAGATTCCACATAAAGAGCTTTCCAAAACTGATCTATAAAGAGAAAGGTTCAACTCTGTTAGTTGAGTACATATATCCCAAAAATGTTTCTTAGAATGCTTCTGTCTAGTTTTGATGGGAAGACATTTCCTTTTTCACCAAAGGCGTCAAAGTGCTCCAAATGTCCACTTCCAGATACGACAGAAAGAGTGTTTCAAACCTGCTTTAGGAAGGGAAATGTTCAACTCTGTGGCTTGAATGCAGATATCACAAAGCAGTTTCTGCGAGTGCCACTGTCTAGATTTTATATGAAGGTATTCCCGTTTCCAACGAAATCGTTAGAGCTATCCAACTATCCACTTGCAGATTCTATAAAAAGAGTGTTTCCAACGTGCTGTATCAAAAGATAGGTTGTACACTGTTAGTTGAGGACACACATTACGAAGAAGTTTCTGAGAATGCCTCTGTCTAGATTTTACCTGAAGATATTCCGGTTTCCAGTGAAATCCTTAAAGCTCTCCACATATCCACTAGCAGATACTCCAAAAGAGTCTTTCAAAACTGCTCTGTGAATAGAAATGCTCAACTCTGTTAGCTGACGACATACGTCACAAAGCAGTTTGTGAGAATGCTTCTGTCTAGGTTTTATGGGACGATATTTCCTTTTTCACCATAAGCGTCCAAGAGCTCCAAGTGCCCACATCCAGATACTTCAGAAAGGGTGTTTCAAACCTGCTCTATGAAAGGGAATGTTCAACTCTGTGACGTGAATGCGGATATCACAAAGCCGTTTCTGAGAATGTTACTGTCTAGGTTGTCTATGAAGATACTCCCGTTTCCAACGAAATCCACAAAGCCATCCAAATATCCACTTGCAGATTCTACAAAAATCGTGTTTCCAAACTGCTCTGTCAAACGAAATGTTCAACTCTGTGAGTTGAGGACACACATCACAAACAAGTTTCTGCGAATGCTTCTGTCTAGTTTGCTTGGGAAGATATTTCCTTGTTCACCATAGGCCTGAAAGCGCTCGAAATGTCCACTTCCAGATACTGCAGAAAGAGGGTTTGAAACCTGCTCTATGAAAGGGAACGTTCAACTCTGTGACTTAAACGCAAACATCACAAAGAAGCTTCTGAGAATGCTGCTGTCTACTTTGTATATGTAATCCCGTTTCCAACGTAACCCTCAAAGCTATCCAAATATCCTCCTGCAGATTCCACGAAAAGACGCTTTCAAGCCTGCCCTTAGAAAGGGAATATTCAACTGCTCTGTTATCAATGCAGATATCACAAAGTAGTTTCTGAGAGTGCTTCTGTCTAGGTTTTATATGAAGATATTCCCGTTTCCAACGAAATAGTTAGGGCTATCCATGTATCAACTTGCAAATTCTATAAAAAGAGTGTTTCCAAACTGCTGTATCATAAGAAAGGTTGAACTCTGTTAGTTGAGGAAACACATCACAAAGACGTTTCTGAGAATGCTTCTGTCTAGTTTTTATGTTGAGATATTTCCTTTTTCAACATAGGCCTGAAATCGATCGAAATGGCCACTTCCAGATACTACAGAAAGAGTGTTTCAAACCTGCTCTATTGAAGGGAATATTCAACTCTGTGACTTCAAAGCAAACATCACAAAGAATCTCCCGAGAATGCTGCTGTCTACTTTCTTTATGTATTCCCGTCTCCAACGAAATCCTCAGAGGTGTCCGAATATCCATCTGCAGATTCCACATAAAGAGCTTTCCAAAACTGATCTATAAAGAGAAAGGTTCAACTCTGTTAGTTGAGTACATATATCCCAAAAATGTTTCTTAGAATGCTTCTGTCTAGTTTTGATGGGAAGACATTTCCTTTTTCACCAAAGGCGTCAAAGTGCTCCAAATGTCCACTTCCAGATACGACAAAAAGAGTGTTTCAAACCTGCTTTAGGAAGGGAAATGTTCAACTCTGTGGCTTGAATGCAGATATCACAAAGCAGTTTTTGAGAGTGCCACTGTCTAGATTTTATATGAAGGTATTCCCGTTTCCAACGAAATCGTTAGAGCTATCCAACTATCCACTTGCAGATTCTATAAAAAGAGTGTTTCCAACGTGCTGTATCAAAAGATAGGTTGTACACTGTTAGTTGAGGACACACATTACGAAGAAGTTTCTGAGAATGCCTCTGTCTAGATTTTACCTGAAGATATTCCGGTTTCCAGTGAAATCCTTAAAGCTCTCCACATATCCACTAGCAGATACTCCAAAAGAGTCTTTCAAAACTGCTCTGTGAATAGAAATGCTCAACTCTGTTAGCTGACGACATACGTCACAAAGCAGTTTGTGAGAATGCTTCTGTCTAGGTTTTATGGGACGATATTTCCTTTTTCACCATAAACGTTCAAGAGCTCCAAGTGCCCATATCCAGATACTTCAGAAAGGGTGTTTCAAACCTGCTCTATGAAAGGGAATGTTCAAATCTGTGACGTGAATGCGGATATCACAAAGCCGTTTCTGAGAATGTTACTGTCTAGGTTGTCTATGAAGATACTCCCGTTTCCAACGAAATCCACAAAGCCATCCAAATATCCACTTGCAGATTCTACAAAAATCGTGTTTCCAAACTGCTCTGTCAAACGAAATGTTCAACTCCGTGAGTTGAGGACACACATCACAAACAAGTTTCTGCGAATGCTTCTGTCTAGTTTGCATGGGAAGATATTTCCTTGTTCACCATGGGCCTGAAAGCGCTCGAAATGTCCACTTCCAGATACTGCAGAAAGAGGGTTTGAAACCTGCTCTACGAAAGGGAACGTTCAACTCTGTGACTTAAACGCAAACATCACAAAGAAGCTTCTGAGAATGCTGCTGTCTACTTTGTATATGTAATCCCGTTTCCAACGTAACCCTCCAAGCTATCCAAATATCCTCCTGCAGATTCCACAAAAAGACGCTTTCAAGCCTGCCCTTAGAAAGGGAATATTCAACTCTCTGATATCAATGCAGATATCACAAAGTAGTTTCTGAGAGTGCTTCTGCCTAGGTTTTATATGAAGATATTCCCGTTTCCAACGAAATAGTTAGGGCTATCCATGTATCAACTTGCAAATTCTATAAAAAGTGTTTCCAAACTGCTGTATCATAAGAAAAGTTGAACTCTGTTAGTTGAGGACACACATCACAAAGACGTTTCTGAGAATGCTCCTGTCTAGTTTTTATGTTAAGATATTTCCTTTTTCAACATAGGCCTGTAATCGATAAAAATGTCCACTTCCAGATACTACAGAAGGAGTGTTTCAAACCTGCTCTATTGAAGGGAATATTCAACTCTGTGACTTAAAAGCAAACATCACAAAGGATCTCCTGAGAATGCTGCTGTCTACTTTCTTTATGTATTCCCGTCTCCAACGAAATCCTCAGAGCTATCCGAATATCCATCTGCAGATTCCACATAAAGAGCTTTCCAAAACTGATCTATAAAGAGAAAGGTTCAACTCTGTTAATTGAGTACATATATCCCAAAAATGTTTCTTAGAATGCTTCTGTCTAGTTTTCATGGGAAGACATTTCCTTTTTCACCAAAGGCGTCAAAGTGCTCCAAATGTCCACTTCCAGATACGACAGAAAGAGTGTTTCAAACCTGCTTTAGGAAGGGAAATGTTCAACTCTGTGGCTTGAATGCAGATATCACAAAGCAGTTTCTGAGAGTGCCACTGTCTAGATTTTATATGAATGTATTCCCGTTTCCAACGAAATCGTTAGAGCTATCCAACTATCCACTTGCAGATTCTATAAAAAGAGTGTTTCCAACGTGCTGTATCAAAAGATAGGTTGTACACTGTTAGTTGAGGACACACATTGCGAAGAAGTTTCTGAGAATGCCTCTGTCTAGATTTTACCTGAAGATATTCCGGTTTCCAATGAAATCCTTAAAGCTCTCCAAATATCCACTAGCAGATACTCCAAAAGAGTCTTTCAAAACTGCTCTGTGAATAGAAATGTTCAACTCTGTTAGTTGAAGACATACGTCACAAAGCAGTTTGTGAGAATGCTTCTGTCCAGTTTTTATGGGACGATCTGTCCTTTTTCACCATAAGCGTCCAAGCGCTCCAAGTGCCCACATCCAGATACTACAGAAAGTGTGTTTCAAACCTGCTCTATGAAAGGGAATGTTCAACTCTGTGACGTGAATGCAGATATCACAAAGCAGTTTCTGAGAATGTTACTGTCTAGGTTGTCTATGAAGATACTCCCGTTTCCAACGAAATCCACAAAGCCATCCAAATATCCACTTGCAGATTCTACAAACATCGTGTTTCCAAACTGCTCTGTCAAACGAAATGTTCAACTCCGTGAGTTGAGGACACACATCACAAACAAGTTTCTGCGAATGCTTCTGTCTAGTTTGCATGGGAAGATATTTCCTTGTTCACCATGGGCCTGAAAGCGCTCGAAATGTCCACTTCCAGATACTGCAGAAAGAGGGTTTGAAACCTGCTCTATGAAAGGGAACGTTCAACTCTGTGACTTAAACGCAAACATCACAAAGAAGCTTCTGAGAATGCTGCTGTCTACTTTGTATATGTAATCCCGTTTCCAACGTAACCTTCCAAGCTATCCAAATATCCTCCTGCAGATTCCACAAAAAGACGCTTTCAAGCCTGCCCTTAGAAAGGGAATATTCAACTCTCTGATATCAATGCAGATATCACAAAGTAGTTTCTGAGAGTGCTTCTGCCTAGGTTTTATATGAAGATATTCCCGTTTCCAACGAAATAGTTAGGGCTATCCATGTATCAACTTGCAAATTCTATAAAAAGAGTGTTTCCAAACTGCTGTATCATAAGAAAGGTTGAACTCTGTTAGTTGAGGACACACATCACAAAGACGTTTCTGAGAATGCTTCTGTCTAGTTTTTATGTTAAGGTATTTCCTTTTTCAACATAGGCCTGAAATCGATCGAAATGTCCACTTCCAGATACTACAGAAAGAGTGTTTCAAACCTGCTCTATTGAAGGGAATATTCAACTCTGTGACTTAAAAGCAAACATCACAAAGAATCTCCTGAGATTGCTGCTGTCTACTTTCTTTATGTATTCCCGTCTCCAACGAAATCCTCAGAGCTATCCGAATATCCATCTGCAGATTCCACATAAAGAGCTTTCCAAAACTGATCTATAAAGAGAAAGGTTCAACTCTGTTAGTTGAGTACATACATCCCAAAAATGTTTCTTAGAATGCTTCTGTCTAGTTTTGATGGGAAGACATTTCCTTTTTCACCAAAGGCGTCAAAGTGCTCCAAATGTCCACTTCCACATACGACAAAAAGAGTGTTTCAAACCTGCTTTAGGAAGGGAAATGTTCAACTCTGTGGCTTGAATGCAGATATCACAAAGCAGTTTCTGAGAGTGCCACTGTCTAGATTTTTTATGAAGGTATTCCCGTTTCCAACGAAATCGTTAGAGCTATCCAAATATCCACTTGCAGATTCTATAAAAAGAGTGTTTCCAACGTGCTGTATCAAAAGATAGGTTGTACACTGTTAGTTGAGGACACACATTACAAAGAAGTTTCTGAGAATGCCTCTGTCTAGATTTTAACTGAAGATATTCCGGTTTCCAGTGAAATCCTTAAAGCTCTCCACATATCCACTAGCAGATACTCCAAAAGAGTCTTTCAAAACTGCTCTGTGAATAGAAATGCTCAACTCTGTTAGCTGACGACATACGTCACAAAGCAGTTTGTGAGAATGCTTCTGTCCAGTTTTTATGGGATGATATGTCCTTTTTCACCATAAGCGTCCAAGCGCTCCAAGTGCCCACATCCAGATACTACAGAAAGTGTGTTTCAAACCTGCTCTATGAAAGGGAATGTTCAACTCTGTGACGTGAATGCAGATATCACAAAGCAGTTTCTGAGAATGTTACTGTCTAGGTTGTCTATGAAGATACTCCCGTTTCCAACGAAATCCACAAAGCCATCCAAATATCCACTTGCAGATTCTACAAAAATCGTGTTTCCAAACTGCTCTGTCAAACGAAATGTTCAACTCTGTGAGTTGAGGACACACATCACAAACAAGTTTCTGCGAATGCTTCTGTCTAGTTTGCATGGGAAGATATTTCCTTGTTCACCATAGGCCTGAAAGCGCTCGAAATGTCCACTTCCAGATACTGCAGAAAGAGGGTTTGAAACCTGCTCTATGAAAGGGAACGTTCAACTCTGTGACTTAAATGCAAACATCATGACGAAGCTTCTGAGAATGCTGCTGTCTACTTTGTATATGTAATCCCGTTTCCAACGTAACCCTCAAAGCTATCCAAATATCCTCCTGCAGATTCCACGAAAAGACGCTTTCAAGCCTGCCCTTAGAAAGGGAATATTCATCTCTCTGGTATCAATGCAGATATCACAAAGTAGTTTCTGAGAGTGCTTCTGTCTAGGTTTTATGTGAAGATATTCCCGTTTCCAACGAAATAGTTAGGGCTATCCATGTATCAGCTTGCAAATTCTATAAAAAGAGTGTTTCCAAACTGCTGTATCATAAGAAAGGTTGAACTCTGTTAGTTGAGGACACACATCACAAAGACGTTTCTGAGAATGCTTCTGTCTAGTTTTTATGTTAAGATATTTCCTTTTTCAACATAGGCCTGAAATCGATCGAAATGTCCAATTCCAGATACTACGGAAAGAGTGTTTCAAACCTGCTCTATTGAAGGGAATATTCAACTCTGTGACTTCAAAGCAAACATCACAAAGAATCTCCTGAGAATGCTGCTGTCTACTTTCTTTATGTATTCCCGTCTCCAACGAAATCCTCAGAGCTATCCGAATATCCATCTGCAGATTCCACATAAAGAGCTTTCCAAAACTGATCTATAAAGAGAAAGGTTCAACTCTGTTAGTTGAGTACATATATCCCAAAAATGTTTCTTAGAATGCTTCTGTCTAGTTTTCATGGGAAGACATTTCCTTTTTCACCAAAGGCGTCAAAGTGCTCCAAATGTCCACTTCCAGATACGACAGAAAGAGTGTTTCAAACCTGCTTTAGGAAGGGAAATGTTCAACTCTGTGGCTTGAATGCAGATATCACAAAGCAGTTTCTGAGAGTGCCACTGTCTAGATTTTATATGAAGGTATTCCCGTTTCCAACGAAATCGTTAGAGCTATCCAACTATCCACTTGCAGATTCTATAAAAAGAGTGTTTCCAACGTGCTGTATCAAAAGATAGGTTGTACACTGTTAGTTGAGGACACACATTACGAAGAAGTTTCTGAGAATGCCTCTGTCTAGATTTTACCTGAAGATATTCCGGTTTCCAGTGAAATCCTTAAAGCTCTCCACATATCCACTAGCAGATACTCCAAAAGAGTCTTTCAAAACTGCTCTGTGAATAGAAATGCTCAACTCTGTTAGCTGACGACATACGTCACAAAGCAGTTTGTGAGAATGCTTCTGTCTAGGTTTTATGGGACGATATTTCCTTTTTCACCATAAGCGTCCAAGAGCTCCAAGTGCCCACATCCAGATACTACAGAAAGGGTGTTTCAAACCTGCTCTATGAAAGGGAATGTTCAACTCTGTGACGTGAATGCGGATATCACAAAGCCGTTTCTGAGAATGTTACTGTCTAGGTTGTCTATGAAGATACTCCCGTTTCCAACGAAATCCACAAAGCCATCCAAATATCCACTTGAAGATTCTACAAAAATCGTGTTTCCGAACTGCTCTGTCAAACGAAATGTTCAAATCCGTGAGTTGAGGACACACATCACAAACAAGTTTCTGCGAATGCTTCTGTCTAGTTTGCATGGGAAGATATTTCCTTGTTCACCATGGGCCGGAAAGCGCTCGAAATGTCCACTTCCAGATACTGCAGAAAGAGGGTTTGAAACCTGCTCTATGAAAGGGAACGTTCAACACTGTGACTTAAACGCAAACATCATAAAGAAGCTTCTGAGAATGCTGCTGTCTACTTTGTATATGTAATCCCGTTTCCAACGTAACCCTCAAAGCTATCCAAATATCCTCCCGCAGATTCCACGAAAAGACGCTTTCAAGCCTTCCCTTAGAAAGGGAATATTCAACTCTCTGATATCAATGCAGATATCACAAAGTAGTTTCTGAGAGTGCTTCTGTCTAGGTTTCATGTAAAGATATTCCCGTTTCCAACGAAATAGTTAGGGCTATCCATGTATCAACTTGCAAATTCTATAAAAAGAGTGTTTCCCAACTGCTGTATCATAAGAAAGGTTGAACTCTGTTAGTTGAGGACACACATCACAAAGACGTTTCTGAGAATGCTTCTGTCTAGTTTTTATGTTAAGGTATTTCCTTTTTCAAAATAGGCCTGAAATCGATCGAAATGTCCACTTCCAGATACTACAGAAAGAGTGTTTCAAACCTGCTCTATTGAAGGGAATATTCAACTCTGTGACTTAAAAGCAAACATCACAAAGAATCTCCTGAGAATGCTGCTGTCTAGTTTCTTTATGTATTCCCGTCTCCAACGAAATCCTCAGAGCTATCCGAATATCCATCTGCAGATTCCACATAAAGAGCTTTCCAAAACTGATCTATAAAGAGAAAGGTTCAACTCTGTTAGTTGAGTACATATATCCCAAAAATGTTTCTTAGAATGCTTCTGTCTAGTTTTCATGGGAAGACATTTCCTTTTTCACCAAAGGCGTCAAAGTGCTCCAAATGTCCACTTCCAGATACGACAAAAAGAGTGTTTCAAACCTGCTTTAGGAAGGGAAATGTTCAACTCTGTGGCTTGAATGCAGATATCACAAAGCAGTTTCTGAGAGTGCCACTGTCTAGATTTTATATGAAGGTATTCCCGTTTCCAACGAAATCGTTAGAGCTATCCAACTATCCAATTGCAGATTCTATAAAAAGAGTGTTTCCAACGTGCTGTATCAAAAGATAGGTTGTACACTGTTAGTTGAGGACACACATTACAAAGAAGTTTCTGAGAATGCCTCTGTCTAGATTTTACCTGAAGATATTCCGGTTTCCAATGAAATCCTTAATGCTCTCCAAATATCCACTAGCAGACACTCCAAAAGAGTCTTTCAAAACGGCTCTGTGAATAGAAATGTTCAACTCTGTTAGTTGAAGACATAAGTCACAAAGCAGTTTGTGAGAATGCTTCTGTCTAGTTTTTATGGGACGATATTTCCTTTTTCACCATAAGCGTCCAAGCGCTCCAAGTGCCCACATCCAGATACTACAGAAAGTGTGTTTCAAGCCTGCTCTATGAGAGGGAAAGTTCAACTCTGTGACGTGAATGCGGATATCACAAAGCCGTTTCTGAGAATGTTACTGTCTAGGTTGTCTGTGAAGATACTCCCGTTTCCAACGAAATCCACAAAGCCATCCAAATATCCACTTGCAGATTCTACAAAAATCGTGTTTCCAAACTGCTCTGTCAAACGAAATGTTCAACTCCGTGAGTTGAGGACACACATCACAAACAAGTTTCTGCGAATGCTTCTGTCTAGTTTGCATGGGAAGATATTTCCTTGTTCACCATAGGCCTGAAAGCGCTCGAAATGTCCACTTCCAGATACTGCAGAAAGAAGGTTTGAAACCTGCTCTATGAAACGGAACGTTCAACTCTGTGACTTGAACGCAAACATCATAAAGAAGCTTCTGAGAATGCTGCTGTCTACTTTGTGTATGTAATCCCGTTTCCAACGTAACCCTCAAAGCTATCCAAATATCCTCCTGCAGATTCCACGAAAAGACGCTTTCAAGCCTGCCCTTAGAAAGGGAATATTCAACTCTCTGATATCAACGCAGATATCACAAAGTAGTTTCTGAGAGTGCTTCTGTCTAGGTTTTATATGAAGATATTCCCGTTTCCAACGAAATAGTTAGGGCTATCCATGTATCAACTTGCAAATTCTATAAAAAGAGTGTTTCCAAACTGCTGTATCATAAGAAAGGTTGAACTCTGTTAGTTGAGGACACACATCACAAAGACGTTTCTGAGAATGCTTCTGTCTAGTTTTTATGTTAAGGTATTTCCTTTTTCAACATAGGCCTGAAATCGATCGAAATGTCCACTTCCAGATACTACAGAATGAGTGTTTCAAACCTGCTCTATTGAAGGGAATATTCAACTCTGTGACTTAAAAGCAAACATCACAAAGAATCTCCTGAGAATGCTGCTGTCTACTTTCTTTATGTATTCCCGTCTCCAACGAAATCCTCAGAGCTATCCGAATATCCATCTGCAGATTCCACATAAAGAGCTTTCCAAAAGTGATCTATAAAGAGAAAGGTTCAACTCTGTTAGTTGAGTACATATATCCCAAAAATGTTTCTTAGAATGCGTCTGTCTAGTTTTCATGGGAAGACATTTCCTTTTTCACCAAAGGCGTCAAAGTGCTCCAAATGTCCACTTCCAGATACGACAGAAAGAGTGTTTCAAACCTGCTTTAGGAAGGGAAATGTTCAACTCTGTGGCTTGAATGCAGATATCACAAAGCAGTTTCTGAGAGTGCCACTGTCTAGATTTTATATGAAGGTATTCCCGTTTCCAACGAAATCGTTAGAGCTATCCAAATATCCACTTGCAGATTCTATAAAAAGAGTGTTTCCAACGTGCTGTATCAAAAGATAGGTTGTACACTGTTAGTTGAGGACACACATTACAAAGAAGTTTCTGAGAATGCCTCTGTCTAGATTTTACCTGAAGATATTCCGGTTTCCGGTGAAATCCTTTAATCTCTCCAAATATCCACTAGCAGATACTCCAAAAGAGTCTTTCAAAACTGCTCTGTGAATAGAAATGTTCAACTCTGTTAGCTGACGACATACGTCTCAAAGCAGTTTGTGAGAATGCTTCTGTCCAGTTTTTATGGGATGATATGTCCTTTTTCACCATAAGCGTCCAAGCGCTCCAAGTGCCCACATCCAGATACTACAGAAAGTGTGTTTCAAACCTGCTCTATGAAAGGGAATGTTCAACTCTGTGACGTGAATGCAGATATCACAAAGCAGTTTCTGAGAATGTTACTGTCTAGGTTTTCTATGAAGATACTCCCGTTTCCAACGAAATCCACAAAGCCATCCAAATATCCACTTGCAGATTCTACAAAAATCGTGTTTCCAAACTGCTCTGTCAAACCAAATGTTCAACTCTGTGAGTTGAGGACACACATCACAAACAAGTTTCTGCGAATGCTTCTGTCTAGTTTGCATGGGAAGATATTTCCTTGTTCACCATAGGCCTGAAATCGCTCGAAATGTCCACTTCCAGATACTGCAGAAAGAGGGTTTGAAACCTGCTCTATGAAAGGGAACGTTCAACTCTGTGACTTGAACGCAAACATCATAAAGAAGCTTCTGAGAATGCTGCTGTCTGCTTTGTACATGTAATCCCGTTTCCAACGTAACCCTCAAAGCTATCCAAATATCCTCCTGCAGATTCCACGAAAAGACGCTTTCAAGCCTGCCCTTAGAAAGGGAATATTCAACTCTCTGATATCAATGCAGATATCACAAAGTAGTTTCTGAGAGTGCTTCTGTCTAGGTTTTATGTGAAGATATTCCCGTTTCCAACGAAATAGTTAGGGCTATCCATGTATCAGCTTGCAAATTCTATAAAAAGAGTGTTTCCAAACTGCTGTATCATAAGAAAGGTTGAACTCTGTTAGTTGAGGGCACACATCACAAAGACGTTTCTGAGAATGCTTCTGTCTAGTTTTTATGTTAAGATATTTCCTTTTTCAACATAGGCCTGAAATCGATCGAAATGTCCACTTCCAGATACTACAGAAAGAGTGTTTCAAACCTGCTCTATTGAAGGGAATATTCAACTCTGTGACTTCAAAGCAAACATCACAAAGAATCTCCCGAGAATGCTGCTGTCTACTTTCTTTATGTATTCCCGTCTCCAACGAAATCCTCAGAGCTATCCGAATATCCATCTGCAGATTCCACATAAAGAGCTTTCCAAAACTGATCTATAAAGAGAAAGCTTCAACTCTGTTAGTTGAGTACATATATCCCAAAAATGTTTCTTAGAATGCTTCTGTCTAGTTTTGATGGGAAGACATTTCCTTTTTCACCAAAGGCGTCAAAGTGCTCCAAATGTCCACTTCCAGATACGACATAAAGAGTGTTTCAAACCTGCTTTAGGAAGGGAAATGTTCAACTCTGTGGCTTGAATGCAGATATCACAAAGCAGTTTCTGCGAGTGCAACTGTCTAGATTTTATATGAAGGGATTCCCGTTTCCAACGAAATCGTTAGAGCTATCCAAATATCCACTTGCAGATTCTATAAAAAGAGTGTTTCCAACGTGCTGTATCAAAAGATAGGTTGTACACTGTTAGTTGAGGACACACATTACAAAGAAGTTTCTGAGAATGCCTCTGTCTAGATTTTACCTGAAGATATTCCGGTTTCCAGTGAAATCCTTAAAGCTCTCCACATTTCCACTAGCAGATACTCCAAAAGAGTCTTTCAAAACTGCTCTGTGAATAGAAATGCTCAACTCTGTTAGCTGACGACATACGTCACAAAGCAGTTTGTGAGAATGCTTCTGTCTAGGTTTTATGGGACGATATTTCCTTTTTCACCATAAGCGTCCAAGAGCTCCAAGTGCCCACATCCAGATACTACAGAAAGGGTGTTTCAAACCTGCTCTATGAAAGGGAATGTTCAACTCTGTGACGTGAATGCGGATATCACAAAGCCGTTTCTGAGAATGTTACTGTCTAGGTTTTCTATGAAGATACTCCCGTTTCCAACGAAATCCACAAAGCCATCCAAATATCCACTTGCAGATTCTACAAAAATCGTGTTTCCAAACTGCTCTGTCAAACGAAATGTTCAACTCTGTGAGTTGAGGACACACATCACAAACAAGTTTCTGCGAATGCTTCTGTCTAGTTTGCATGGGAAGATATTTCCTTGTTCACCATAGGCCTGAAAGCGCTCGAAATGTCCACTTCCAGATACTGCAGAAAGAGGGTTTGAAACCTGCTCTATGAAAGGGAACGTTCAACTCTGTGACTTGAACGCAAACATCATAAAGAAGCTTCTGAGAATGCTGCTGTCTGCTTTGTACATGTAATCCCGTTTCCAACGTAACCCTCAAAGCTATCCAAATATCCTCCTGCAGATTCCACGAAAAGACGCTTTCAAGCCTGCCCTTAGAAAGGGAATATTCAACTCTCTGATATCAATGCAGATATCACAAAGTAGTTTCTGAGAGTGCTTCTGTCTAGGTTTTATGTGAAGATATTCCCGTTTCCAACGAAATAGTTAGGGCTATCCATGTATCAGCTTGCAAATTCTATAAAAAGGGTGTTTCCCAACTGCTGTATCATAAGAAAGGTTGAACTCTGTTAGTTGAGGACACACATCACAAAGACGTTTCTGAGAATGCTTCTGTCTAGTTTTTATGTTAAGATATTTCCTTTTTCAACATAGGCCTGAAATCGATCGAAATGGCCACTTCCAGATACTACAGAAAGAGTGTTTCAAACCTGCTCTATTGAAGGGAATATTCAACTCTGTGACTTAAAAGCAAACATCACAAAGAATCTCCCGAGAATGCTGCTGTCTACTTTCTTTATGTATTCCCGTCTCCAACGAAATCCTCAGTAGCTATCCGAATATCCATCTGCAGATTCCACATAAAGAGCTTTCCAAAACTGATCTATAAAGAGAAAGGTTCAACTCTGTTAGTTGAGTACATATATCCCAAAAATGTTTCTTAGAATGCTTCTGTCTAGTTTTCATGGGAAGACATTTCCTTTTTCACCAAAGGCGTCAAAGTGCTCCAAATGTCCACTTCCAGATACGACAAAAAGAGTGTTTCAAACCTGCTTTAGGAAGGGAAATGTTCAACTCTGTGGCTTGAATGCAGATATCACAAAGCAGTTTCTGAGAGTGCCACTGTCTAGATTTTATATGAAGGTATTCCCGTTTCCAACGAAATCGTTAGAGCTATCCAAATATCCACTTGCAGATTCTATAAATGAGTGTTTCCAACGTGCTGTATCAAAAGATATGTTGTACACTGTTAGTTGAGGACACACATTACAAAGAAGTTTCTGAGAATGCCTCTGTCTAGATTTTACCTGAAGATATTCCGGTTTCCAGTGAAATCCTTAAAGCTCTCCACATATCCACTAGCAGATACTCCAAAAGAGTCTTTCAAAACTGCTCTGTGAATAGAAATGCTCAACTCTGTTAGCTGACGACATACGTCACAAAGCAGTTTGTGAGAATGCTTTTGTCTAGGTTTTATGGGACGATATTTCCTTTTTCACCATAAGCGTCCAAGAGCTCCATGTGCCCACATCCAGATACTACAGAAAGGGTGTTTCAAACCTGCTCTATGAAAGGGAATGTTCAACTCTGTGACGTGAATGCGGATATCACAAAGCCGTTTCTGAGAATGTTACTGTCTAGGTTTTCTATGAAGATACTCCCGTTTCCAACGAAATCCACAAAGCCATCCAAATATCCACTTGCAGATTCTACAAAAATCGTGTTTCCAAACTGCTCTGTCAAACCAAATGTTCAACTCTGTGAGTTGAGGACACACATCACAAACAAGTTTCTGCGAATGCTTCTGTCTAGTTTGCATGGGAAGATATTTCCTTGTTCACCATAGGCCTGAAAGCGCTCGAAATGTCCACTTCCAGATACTGCAGAAAGAGGGTTTGAAACCTGCTCTATGAAAGGGAACGTTCAACTCTGTGACTTGAACGCAAACATCATAAAGAAGCTTCTGAGAATGCTGCTGTCTGCTTTGTACATGTAATCCCGTTTCCAACGTAACACTCAAAGCTATCCAAATATCCTCCTGCAGATTCCAAAAAAAGACGCTTTCATGCCTGCCCTTAGAAAGGGAATATTCAACTCTCTGATATCAATGCAGATATCACAAAGTAGTTTCTGAGAGTGCTTCTGTCTAGGTTTTATGTGAAGATATTCCCGTTTCCAACGAAATAGTTAGGGCTATCCATGTATCAACTTGCAAATTCTATAAAAAGAGTGTTTCCCAACTGCTGTATCATAAGAAAGGTTGAACTCTGTTAGTTGAGGACACACATCACAAAGACGTTTCTGAGAATGCTTCTGTCTAGTTTTTATGTTAAGATATTTCCTTTTTCAACATAGGCCTGAAATCGATCGAAATGTCCACTTCCAGATACTACGGAAAGAGTGTTTCAAACCTGCTCTATTGAAGGGAATATTCAACTCTGTGACTTCAAAGCAAACATCACAAAGAATCTCCCGAGAATGCTGCTGTCTACTTTCTTTATGTATTCCCGTCTCCAGCGATATCCTCAGAGCTATCCGAATATCCACTTGCAGATTCCACATAAAGAGCTTTCCAAAACTGATCTATAAAGAGGAAGGTTCAACTCTGTTAGTTGAGTACATATATCTCAAAAATGTTTCTTAGAATGCTTCTGTCTAGTTTTGACGGGAAGACATTTCCTTTTTCACCAAAGGTGTCAACGTGCTCCAAATGTCCACTTCCAGATACGACAAAACGAGTGTTTCAAACCTGCTTTAGGAAGGGAAATGTTCAACTCTGTGGCTTGAATGCAGATATCACAAAGCAGTTTCTGAGAGTGCCACTGTCTAGATTTTATATGAAGGTATTCCCGTTTCCAACGAAATCGTTAGGGCTATCCAACTATCCACTTGCAGATTCTATAAAAAGAGTGTTTCCAACGTGCTGTATCAAAAGATAGGTTGTACACTGTTAGTTGAGGACACACATTACGAAGAAGTTTCTGAGAATGCCTCTGTCTAGATTTTACCTGAAGATATTCCGGTTTCCAATGAAATCCTTAAAGCTCTCCAAATATCCACTAGCAGATACTCCAAAAGAGTCTTTCAAAACTGCTCTGTAAATAGAAATGTTCAACTCTGTTAGTTGAAGACATACGTCACAAAGCAGTTTGTGAGAATGCTTCTGTCCAGTTTTTATGGGACGATATGTCCTTTTTCACCATAAGCGTCCAAGCGCTCCAAGTGCCCACATCCAGATACTACAGAAAGTGTGTTTCAAACCTGCTCTATGAAACGGAATGTTCAACTCTGTGACGTGAATGCAGATATCACAAAGCAGTTTCTGAGCATGTTACTGTCTAGGTTGTCTATGAAGATACTCCCGTTTCCAACGAAATCCACAAAGCCATCCAAATATCCACTTGAAGATTCTACAAAAATCGTGTTTCCGAACTGCTCTGTCAAACGAAATGTTCAACTCCGTGAGTTGAGGACACACATCAGAAACAAGTTTCTGTGAATGCTTCTGTCTAGTTTGCATGGGAAGATATTTCCTTGTTCACCATGGGCCTGAAAGCGCTCGAAATGTCCACTTCCAGATACTGCAGAAAGAGGGTTTGAAACCTGCTCTATGAAAGGGAACGTTCAACTCTGTGACTTAAACGCAAACATCATAAAGAAGCTTCTGAGAATGCTGCTGTCTACTTTGTATATGTAATCCCGTTTCCAACGTAACCCTCAAAGCTATCCAAATATCCTCCCGCAGATTCCACGAAAAGACGCTTTCAAGCCTGCCCTTAGAAAGGGAATATTCAACTCTCTGATATCAATGCAGATATCACAAAGTAGTTTCTGAGAGTGCTTCTGTCTAGGTTTTATATGAAGATATTCCCGTTTCCAACGAAATAGTTAGGGTATCCGTGTATCAACTTGCAAATTCTATAAAAAGAGTGTTTCCAAACTGCTGTATCATAAGAAAGGTTGAACTCTGTTAGTTGAGGACACACATCACAAAGACGTTTCTGAGAATGCTTCTGTCTAGTTTTTATGTTAAGGTATTTCCTTTTTCAACATAGGCCTGAAATCGATCGAAATGTCCACTTCCAGATACTACAGAAAGAGTGTTTCAAACCTGCTCTATTGAAGGGAATATTCAACTCTGTGACTTAAAAGCAAACATCACAAAGAATCTCCTGAGAATGCTGCTGTCTACTTTCTTTATGTATTCCCGTCTCCAACGAAATCCTCAGAGCTATCCGAATATCCATCTGCAGATTCCACATAAAGAGCTTTCCAAAACTGATCTATAAAGAGAAAGGTTAAACTCTGTTAGTTGAGTACATATATCCCAAAAATGTTTCTTAGAATGCTTCTGTCTAGTTTTGATGGGAAGACATTTCCTTTTTCACCAAAGGCGTCAAAGTGCTCCAAATGTCCACTTCCAGATACGACAAAAAGAGTGTTTCAAACCTGCTTTAGGAAGGGAAATGTCCAACTCTGTGGCTTGAATGCAGATATCACAAAGCAGTTTCTGAGAGTGCCACTGTCTAGATTTTATATGAAGGTATTCCCGTTTCCAACGAAATCGTTAGAGCTACCCAACTATCCACTTGCAGATTCTATAAAAAGAGTGTTTCCAACGTGCTGTATCAAAAGATAGGTTGTACACTGTTAGTTGAGGACACACATTACGAAGAAGTTTCTGAGAATGCCTCTGTCTAGATTTTACCTGAAGATATTCCGGTTTCCAATGAAATCCTTAAAGCTCTCCAAATATCCAGTAGCAGATACTCCAAAAGAGTCTTTCAAAACTGCTCTGTGAATAGAAATGTTCAACTCTGTTAGTTGAAGACATACGTCACAAAGCAGTTTGTGAGAATGCTTCTGTCCAGTTTTTATGGGACGATCTGTCCTTTTTCACCATAAGCGTCCAAGCGCTCCAAGTGCCCACATCCAGATACTACAGAAAGTGTGTTTCAAACCTGCTCTATGAAAGGGAATGTTCAACTCTGTGACGTGAATGCAGATATCACAAAGCAGTTTCTGAGCATGTTACTGTCTAGGTTTTCTATGAAGATACTCCCGTTTCCAACGAAATCCACAAAGCCATCCAAATACCCACTTGCAGATTCTACAAAAATCGTGTTTCCAAACTGCTCTGTCAAACGAAATGTTCAACTCTGTGAGTTGAGGACACACATCACAAACAAGTTTCTGCGAATGCTTCTGTCTAGTTTGCATGGGAAGATATTTCCTTGTTCACCATGGGCCTGAAAGCGCTCGAAATGTCCACTTCCAGATACTGCAGAAAGAGGGTTTGAAACCTGCTCTATGAAAGGGAACGTTCAACTCTGTGACTTAAACGCAAACATCATAAAGAAGCTTCTGAGAATGCTGCTGTCTGCTTTGTACATGTAATCCCGTTTCCAACGTAACACTCAAAGCTATCCAAATATCCTCCTGCAGATTCCAAAAAAAGACGCTTTCAAGCCTGCCCTTAGAAAGGGAATATTCAACTCTCTGATATCAATGCAGATATCACAAAGTAGTTTCTGAGAGTGCTTCTGTCTAGGTTTTATATGAAGATATTCCCGTTTCCAAGGAAATAGTTAGGGCTATCCATGTATCAACTTGCAAATTCTACAAAAAGAGTGTTTCCAAACTGCTGTATCATAAGAAAGGTTGTACTCTGTTAGTTGAGGACACACATCACAAAGACGTTTCTGAGAATGCTTCTGTCTAGCTTTATGTTACGATATTTCCTTTTTCAACATAGGCCTGAAATCGATCGAAATGTCCACTTCCAGATACTACAGAAAGAGTGTTTCAAACGTGCTCTATTGAAGGGAATATTCAACTCTGTGACTTCAAAGCAAACATCACAAAGAATCTCCCGAGAATGCTGCTGTCTACTTTCTTTATGTAATCCCGTCTCCAGCGAAATCCTCAGATCTATCCGAATATCCACTTGCAGATTCCACATAAAGAGCTTTCCAAAACTGATCTATAAAGAGGAAGGTTCAACTCTGTTAGTTGAGTACATATATCTCAAAAATGTTTCTTAGAATGCTTCTGTCTAGTTTTGACGGGAAGACATTTCCTTTTTCACCAAAGGCGTCAAAGTGCTCCAAATGTCCACTTCCAGATACGACAAAACGAGTGTTTCAAACCTGCTTTAGGAAGGGAAATGTTCAACTCTGTGGCTTGAATGCAGATATCACAAAGCAGTTTCTGAGAGTGAAACTGTCTAGATTTTATATGAAGGTATTCCCGTTTCCAACGAAATCGTTAGAGCTATCCAAATATCCACTTGCAGATTCTATAAAAAGAGTGTTTCCAACGTGCTGTATCAAAAGATAGGTTGTACACTGTTAGTTGAGGACACACATTACAAAGAAGTTTCTGAGAATGCCTCTGTCTAGATTTTACCTGAAGATATTCCGGTTTCCAATGAAATCCTTAAAGCTCTCCAAATATCCACTAGCAGATACTCCAAAAGAGTCTTTCAAAACTGCTCTGTGAATAGAAATGTTCAACTCCTGTTAGTTGAAGACATACGTCACAAAGCAGTTTGTGAGAATGCTTCTGTCTAGGTTTTATGGGACGATATTTCCTTTTTCACCATAAGCGTCCAAGAGCTCCAAGTGCCCACATCCAGATACTTCAGAAAGGGTGTTTCAAACCTGCTCTATGAAACGGAATGTTCAACTCTGTGACGTGAATGCGGATATCACAAAGCCGTTTCTGAGAATGTTACTGTCTAGGTTTTCTATGAAGATACTCCCGTTTCCAACGAAATCCACAAAGCCATCCAAATATCCACTTGCAGATTCTACAAAAATCGTGTTTCCAAACTGCTCTGTCAAACGAAGTGTTCAACTCTGTGAGTTGAGGACACACATCACAAACAAGTTTCTGCGAATGCTTCTGTCTAGTTTGCATGGGAAGATATTTCCTTGTTCACCATGGGCCTGAAAGCGCTCGAAATGTCCACTTCCAGATACTGCAGAAAGAGGGTTTGAAACCTGCTCTATGAAAGGGAACGTTCAACTCTGTGACTTAAACGCAAACATCACAAAGAAGCTTCTGAGAATGCTGCTGTCTACTTTGTATATGTAATCCCGTTTCCAACGTAACCCTCCAAGCTATCCAAATATCCTCCTGCAGATTCCACGAAAAGACGCTTTCAAGCCTGCCCTTAGAAAGGGAATATTCAACTCTCTGATATCAATGCAGATATCACAAAGTAGTTTCTGAGAGTGCTTCTGCCTAGGTTTTATATGAAGATATTCCCGTTTCCAACGAAATAGTTAGGGCTATCCATGTATCAACTTGCAAATTCTATAAAAAGAGTGTTTCCAAACTGCTGTATCATAAGAAAGGTTGAACTCTGTTAGTTGAGGACACACATCACAAAGACGTTTCTGAGAATGCTTCTGTCTAGTTTTTATGTTAAGGTATTTCCTTTTTCAACATAGGCCTGAAATCGATCGAAATGTCCACTTCCAGATACTACAGAAAGAGTGTTTCAAACCTGCTCTATTGAAGGGAATATTCAACTCTGTGACTTAAAAGCAAACATCACAAAGAATCTCCTGAGAATGCTGCTGTCTACTTTCTTTATGTATTCCCGTCTCCAACGAAATCCTCAGAGCTATCCGAATATCCATCTGCAGATTCCACATAAAGAGCTTTCCAAAACTGATCTATAAAGAGAAAGGTTCAACCCTGTTAGTTGAGTACATATATCCCAAAAATGTTTCTTAGAATGCTTCTGTCTAGTTTTCATGGGAAGACATTTCCTTTTTCACCAAAGGCGTCAAAGTGCTCCAAATGTCCACTTCCAGATACGACAAAAAGAGTGTTTCAAACCTGCTTTAGGAAGGGAAATGTTCAACTCTGTGGCTTGAATGCAGATATCACAAAGCAGTTTCTGAGAGTGCCACTGTCTAGATTTTATATGAAGGTATTCCCGTTTCCAACGAAATCTTTAGAGCTATCCAACTATCCACTTGCAGTTTCTATAAAAAGAGTGTTTCCAACGTGCTGTATCAAAAGATAGGTTGTACACTGTTAGTTGAGGACACACATTACGAAGAAGTTTCTGAGAATGCCTCTGTCTAGATTTTACCTGAAGATATTCCGGTTTCCAATGAAATCCTTAAACTCTCCAAATATCCACTAGCAGATACTCCAAAAGAGTCTTTCAAAACTGCTCTGTGAATAGAAATGTTCAACTCTGTTAGTTGAAGACATACGTCACAAAGCAGTTTGTGAGAATGCTTCTGTCCAGTTTTTATGGGACGATATGTCCTTTTTCACCATAAGCGTCCAAGCGCTCCAAGTGCCCACATCCAGATACTACAGAAAGTGTGTTTCAAACCTGCTCTATGAAAGGGAATGTTCAACTCTGTGACGTGAATGCAGATATCACAAAGCAGTTTCTGAGCATGTTACTGTCTAGGTTTTCTATGAAGATACTCCCGTTTCCAACGAAATCCACAAAGCCATCCAAATATCCACTTGCAGATTCTACAAAAATCGTGTTTCCAAACTGCTCTGTCAAACGAAATGTTCAACTCTGTGAGTTGAGGACACACATCACAAACAAGTTTCTGCGAATGCTTCTGTCTAGTTTGCATGGGAAGATATTTCCTTGTTCACCATAGGCCTGAAAGCGCTCGAAATGTCCACTTCCAGATACTGCAGAAAGAGGGTTTGAAACCTGCTCTATGAAAGGGAACGTTCAACTCTGTGACTTGAACGCAAACATCATAAAGAAGCTTCTGAGAATGCTGCTGTCTGCTTTGTATATGTAATCCCGTTTCCAACGTAACCCTCAAAGCTATCCAAATATCCTCCTGCAGATTCCACGAAAATACGCTTTCAAGCCTGCCCTTAGAAAGGGAATATTCAACTCTCTGATATCAATGCAGATATCACAAAGTAGTTTCTGAGAGTGCTTCTGTCTAGGTTTTATGTGAAGATATTCCCGTTTCCAACGAAATAGTTAGGGCTATCCATGTATCAACTTGCAAATTCTATAAAAAGAGTGTTTCCCAACTGCTGTATCATAAGAAAGGTTGAACTCTGTTAGTTGAGGACACACATCACAAAGACGTTTCTGAGAATGCTTCTGTCTAGTTTTTATGTTGAGATATTTCCTTTTTCAACATAGGCCTGAAATCGATCGAAATGGCCACTTCCAGATACTACAGAAAGAGTGTTTCAAACCTGCTCTATTGAAGGGAATATTCAACTCTGTGACTTAAAAGCAAACATCACAAAGAATCTCCCGAGAATGCTGCTGTCTACTTTCTTTATGTATTCCCGTCTCCAACGAAATCCTCAGAGCTATCCGAATATCCATCTGCAGATTCCACATAAAGAGCTTTCCAAAACTGATCTATAAAGAGAAAGGTTCATCTCTCTTAGTTCAGTACATATATCCCAAAAATGTTTCTTAGAATGCTTCTGTCTAGTTTTGATGGGAAGACATGTCCTTTTTCACCAAAGGCGTCAAAGTGCTCCAAATGTCCACTTCCAGATACGACAGAAAGAGTGTTTCAAACCTGCTTTAGGAAGGGAAATGTTCAACTCTGTGGCTTGAGTGCAGATATCACAAAGCAGTTTCTGAGAGTGCCACTGTCTAGATTTTATATGAAGGCCTTCCCGTTTCCAACGAAATCTTTAGAGCTATCCAACTATCCACTTGCAGATTCTATAAAAAGAGTGTTTCCAACGTGCTGTATCAAAAGATAGGTTGTACACTGTTAGTTGAGGACACCCATTACAAAGAAGTTTCTGAGAATGCCTCTGTCTAGATTTTACCTGAAGATATTCCGGTTTCCGGTGAAATCCTTAAACTCTCCAAATATCCACTAGCAGATACTCCAAAAGAGTCTTTCAAAACTGCTCTGTGAATAGAAATGTTCAACTCTGTTAGCTGACGACATACGTCTCAAAGCAGTTTGTGAGAATGCTTCTGTCTAGTTTTTATGGGACGATATTTCCTTTTTCACCATAAGCGACCAAGCGCTCCAAGTGTCCACATCCAGATACTACAGAAAGTGTGTTTCAAACCTGCTCTATGAAAGGGAATGTTCAACTCTGTGACGTGAATGCAGATAACACAAAGCAGTTTCTGAGAATGTTACTGTCTAGGTTTTCTATGAAGATACTCCCGTTTCCAACGAAATCCACAAAGCCATCCAAATAACCACTTGCAGATTCTACAAAAGTCGTGTTTCCAAACTGCTCTGTCAAACGAAATGTTCAACTCTGTGAGTTGAGGACACACATCACAAACAAGTTTCTGCGAATGCTTCTGTCTAGTTTGCATGGGAAGATATTTCCTTGTTCACCATAGGCCTGAAAGCGCTCGAAATGTCCACTTCCAGATACTGCAGAAAGAGGGTTTGAAACCTGCTCTATGAAAGGGAACGTTCAACTCTGTGACTTAAACGCAAACATCATGACGAAGCTTCTGAGAATGCTGCTGTCTACTTTGTATATGTAATCCCGTTTCCAACGTAACCCTCAAAGCTATCCAAATATCCTCCTGCAGATTCCACAAAAAGACGCTTTCAAGCCTGCCCTTAGAAAGGGAATATTCAACTCTCTGATATCAATGCAGATATCACAAAGTAGTTTCTGAGAGTGCTTCTGCCTAGGTTTTATATGAAGATATTCCCGTTTCCAACGAAATAGTTAGGGCTATCCATGTATCAACTTGCAAATTCTATAAAAAGAGTGTTTCCAAACTGCTGTATCATAAGAAAGGTTGAACTCTGTTAGTTGAGGACACACATCACAAAGACGTTTCTGAGAATGCTTCTGTCTAGTTTTTATGTTACGATATTTCCTTTTTCAACATAGCCCTGAAATCGATCGAAATGTCCACTTTCAGATACTACAGAAAGAGTGTTTCAAATCTGCTCTATTGAAGGGAATATTCAACTCTGTGACTTAAAAGCAAACATCACAAAGAATCTCCCGAGAATGCTGCTGTCTACTTTTTATATGTAATCCCGTCTACAACGGAATCCTCAGAGCTATCCGAATATCCATTTGCAGATCCCACAAAAAGAGCTTTTCAAAACTGATCTATAAAGAGAAAGGTTCAACTCTGTTAGTTGAGTACATATATCCCAAAGAAGTTTCTTAGAATGCTTCGGTCTAGTTTTGATGTGAAGACATTTCCTTTTTCACCAAAGGCGTCAAAGTGCTCCAAATGTCCACTTCCAGATACTACCAAAAGAGTGTTTTAAACCTGCTTTAAGAAAGGAAATGTTGAACTCTGTGACTTGAATGCAGATATCACAAAGCAGTTTCTGAGAGTGCCACTGTCTAGATTTTATATGAAGTTATTCCCGTTTCCAATTAAATTGTTAGAGCTATCCAAATATCCACTTGCAGATTCTACAAAAAGAGTGTTTTCAAACTGCTGTATCAAAAGACAGGTTGTACTCTGTCAGTTGAGGACACACATCACAAAGAAGTTTCTGAGAATGCCTCTGTCTGGATTTTACCTGAAGATATTCCGGTTTCCAATGAAATCCTTAAAGCTCTCCAAATATCCACTAGCAGACACTCCAAAAGAGTCTTTCAAAACGGCTCTGTGAATAGAAATGTTCAACTCTGTTAGTTGAAGACATAAGTCACAAAGCAGTTTGTGAGAATGCTTCTGTCCAGTTTTTATGGGACGATATGTCCTTTTTCACCATAAGCGTCCAAGCGCTCCAAGTGCCCACATCCAGATACTACAGAAAGTGTGTTTCAAACCTGCTCTATGAAAGGGAATGTTCAACTCTGTGACATGAATGCAGATATCACAAAACAGTTTCTGAGCATGTTACTGTCTAGGTTTTCTATGAAGATACTCCCGTTTCCAACGAAATCCACAAAGCCATCCAAATATCCACTTGCAGATTCTACAAAAATCGTGTTTCCAAACTGCTCTGTCAAACGAAATGTTCAACTCTGTGAGTTGAGGACACACATCACAAACAAGTTTCTGCGAATGCTTCTGTCTAGTTTGCATGGGAAGATATTTCCTTGTTCACCATAGGCCTGACAGCGCTCGAAATGTCCACTTCCAGATACTGCAGAAAGAGGGTTTGAAATCTGCTCTATGAAAGGGAACGTTGAACTCTGTGACTTGAAAACAAACATCATAAAGCAGCTTCTGAGAATGCTGCTGTCTAATTTGTATAAGTAATCACGTTTCCAACGTAACCCTCAAAGCTATCCAAATATCCTCCTGCAGATTCCACAAAAAGACGCTTTCAAGCCTGCCCTTAGAAAGGGAATATTCAACTCTCTGATATCAATGCAGATATCACAAAGTAGTTTCTGAGAGTGCTTCTGTCTAGGTTTTATATGAAGATATTCCCGTTTCCAAGGAAATGGTTAGGGCTCTCCATGTATCAACTTGCAAATTCTATAAAAAGAGTGTTTCCAAACTGCTGTATCATAAGAAAGGTTGAACACTGTTAGTTGAGGACACACATCACAAAGACGTTTCTGAGAATGCTTCTGTCTAGTTTTTATGTTAAGGTATTTCCTTTTTCAACATAGGCCTGAAATCGATCGAAATGTCCACTTCCAGATACTACAGAAAGAGTGTTTCAAACCTGCTCTATTGAAGGGAATATTCAACTCTGTGACTTAAAAGCAAACATCACAAAGAATCTCCTGAGAATGCTGCTGTCTACTTTCTTTATGTATTCCCGTCTCCAACGAAATCCTCAGAGCTATCCGAATATCCATCTGCAGATTCCACATAAAGAGCTTTCCAAAACTGATCTATAAAGAGAAAGGTTCAACTCTGTTAGTTGAGTACATATATCCCAAAAATGTTTCTTAGAATGCTTCTGTCTAGTTTTGATGGGAAGACATTTCCTTTTTCACCAAAGGCGTCAAAGTGCTCCAAATGTCCACTTCCAGATACGACAGAAAGAGTGTTTCAAACCTGCTTTAGGAAGGGAAATGTTCAACTCTGTGGCTTGAATGCAGATATCACAAAGCAGTTTTTGCGAGTGCCACTGTCTAGGATTTTATATGAAGGTATTCCCGTTTCCAACGAAATCGTTAGAGCTATCCAAATATCCACTTGCAGATTCTATAAAAAGAGTGTTTCCAACGTGCTGTATCAAAAGATAGGTTGTACACTGTTAGTTGAGGACACACATTACAAAGAAGTTTCTGAGAATGCCTCTGTCTAGATTTTACCTGAAGATATTCCGGTTTCCAGTGAAATCCTTAAAGCTCTCCACATATCCACTAGCAGATACTCCAAAAGAGTCTTTCAAAACTGCTCTGTGAATAGAAATGCTCAACTCTGTTAGCTGACGACATACGTCACAAAGCAGTTTGTGAGAATGCTTTTGTCTAGGTTTTATGGGACGATATTTCCTTTTTCACCATAAGCGTCCAAGAGCTCCAAGTGCCCACATCCAGATACTACAGAAAGGGTGTTTCAAACCTGCTCTATGAAAGGGAATGTTCAACTCTGTGACGTGAATGCGGATATCACAAAGCCGTTTCTGAGAATGTTACTGTCTAGGTTTTCTATGAAGATACTCCCGTTTCCAACGAAATCCACAAAGCCATCCAAATATCCACTTGCAGATTCTACAAAAATCGTGTTTCCAAACTGCTCTGTCAAACGAAATGTTCAACTCTGTGAGTTGAGGACACACATCACAAACAAGTTTCTGCGAATGCTTCTGTCTAGTTTGCATGGGAAGATATTTCCTTGTTCACCATAGGCCTGAAAGCGCTCGAAATGTCCACTTCCAGATACTGCAGAAAGAGGGTTTGAAACCTGCTCTATGAAAGGGAACGTTCAACTCTGTGACTTGAACGCAAACATCATAAAGAAGCTTCTGAGAATGCTGCTGTCTGCTTTGTACATGTAATCCCGTTTCCAACGTAACCCTCAAAGCTATCCAAATATCCTCCTGCAGATTCCACGAAAAGACGCTTTCAAGCCTGCCCTTAGAAAGGGAATATTCAACTCTCTGATATCAATGCAGATATCACAAAGTAGTTTCTGAGAGTGCTTCTGTCTAGGTTTTATATGAAGATATTCCCGTTTCCAACGAAATAGTTAGGGCTATCCATGTATCAACTTGCAAATTCTATAAAAAGAGTGTTTCCAAACTGCTGTATCATAAGAAAGGTTGAACTCTGTTAGTTGAGGACACACATCACAAAGACGTTTCTGAGAATGCTTCTGTCTAGTTTTTATGTTAAGGTATTTCCTTTTTCAACATAGGCCTGAAATCGATCGAAATGTCCTCTTCCAGATACTACAGAAAGAGTGTTTCAAACCTGCTCTATTGAAGGGAATATTCAACTCTGTGACTTAAAAGCAAACATCACAAAGAATCTCCTGAGAATGCTGCTGTCTACTTTCTTTATGTATTCCCGTCTCCAACGAAATCCTCAGAGCTATCCGAATATCCATCTGCAGATTCCACATAAAGAGCTTTCCAAAACTGATCTATAAAGAGAAAGGTTCAACTCTGTTAGTTGAGTACATATATCCCAAAAATGTTTCTTAGAATGCTTCTGTCTAGTTTTCATGGGAAGACATTTCCTTTTTCACCAAAGGCGTCAAAGTGCTCCAAATGTCCACTTCCAGATACGACAAAAAGAGTGTTTCAAACCTGCTTTAGGAAGGGAAATGTTCAACTCTGTGGCTTGAATGCAGATATCACAAAGCAGTTTCTGAGAGTGCCACTGTCTAGATTTTATATGAAGGTATTCCCGTTTCCAACGAAATCGTTAGAGCTATCCAACTATCCACTTGCAGATTCTATAAAAAGAGTGTTTCCAACGTGCTGTATCAAAAGATAGGTTGTACACTGTTAGTTGAGGACACACATTACGAAGAAGTTTCTGAGAATGCCTCTGTCTAGATTTTACCTGAAATACTCTGGTTTCTAATGAAATCCTTAAAGCTCTCCAAATATCCACTAGCAGATACTCCAAAAGAGTCTTTCAAAACTGCTCTGTGAATAGAAATGTTCCACTCTGTTAGTTGAAGACATACGTCACAAAGCAGTTTCTGAGAATGCTTCTGTCTAGTTTTTATGGGACGATATTTCCTTTTTCACCATAAGCGTCCAAGCGCTCCAAGTGCCCACATCCAGATACTACAGAAAGGGTGTTTCAAACCTGCTCTATGAAAGGGAATGTTCAACTCTGTGACGTGAATGCGGATATCACAAAGCCGTTTCTGAGAATGTTACTGTCTAGGTTGTCTGTGAAGATACTCCCGTTTCCAACGAAATCCACAAAGCCATCCAAATATCCACTTGCAGATTCTACAAAAATCGTGTTTCCAAACTGCTCTGTCAAACGAAATGTTCAACTCCGTGAGTTCAGGACACACATCACAAACAAGTTTCTGCGAATGCTTCTGTCTAGTTTGCATGGGAAGATATTTCCTTGTTCACCATGGGCCTGAAAGCGCTCGAAATGTCCACTTCCAGATACTGCAGAAAGAGGGTTTGAAACCTGCTCTATGAAAGGGAACGTTCAACTCTGTGACTTAAACGCAAACATCACAAAGAAGCTTCTGAGAATGCTGCTGTCTACTTTGTATATGTAATCCCGTTTCCAACGTAACCCTCCAAGCTATCCAAATATCCTCCTGCAGATTCCACGAAAAGACGCTTTCAAGCCTGCCCTTAGAAAGGGAATATTCAACTCTCTGATATCAATGCAGATATCACAAAGTAGTTTCTGAGAGTGCTTCTGCCTAGGTTTTATATGAAGATATTCCCGTTTCCAACGAAATAGTTAGGGCTATCCATGTATCAACTTGCAAATTCTATAAAAAGAGTGTTTCCAAACTGCTGTATCATAAGAAATGTTGAACTCTGTTAGTTGAGGACACACATCACAAAGACGTTTCTGAGAATGCTTCTGTCTAGTTTTTATGTTAAGGTATTTCCTTTTTCAACATAGGCCTGAAATCGATCGAAATGTCCACTTCCAGATACTACAGAAAGAGTGTTTCAAACCTGCTCTATTGAAGGGAATATTCAACTCTGTGACTTAAAAGCAAACATCACAAAGAATCTCCTGAGAATGCTGCTGTCTACTTTCTTTATGTATTCCCGTCTCCAACGAAATCCTCAGAGCTATCCGAATATCCATCTGCAGATTCCACATAAAGAGCTTTCCAAAACTGATATATAAAGAGAAAGGTTGAACTCTGTTAGTTGAGTACATATATCCCAAAAATGTTTCTTAGAATGCTTCTGTCTAGTTTTCATGGGAAGACATTTCCTTTTTCACCAAAGGCGTCAAAGTGCTCCAAATGTCCACTTCCAGATACGACAAAAAGAGTGTTTCAAACCTGCTTTAGGAAGGGAAATGTTCAACTCTGTGGCTTGAATGCAGATATCACAAAGCAGTTTCTGAGAGTGCCACTGTCTAGATTTTATATGAAGGGATTCTCGTTTCCAACGAAATCGTTAGAGCTATCCAAATATCCACTTGCAGATTCTATAAAAAGAGTGTTTCCAACGTGCTGTATCAAAAGATAGGTTGTACACTGTTAGTTGAGGACACACATTACAAAGAAGTTTCTGAGAATGCCTCTGTCTAGATTTTAACTGAAGATATTCCGGTTTCCAGTGAAATCCTTAAAGCTCTCCACATATCCACTAGCAGATACTCCAAAAGAGTCTTTCAAAACTGCTCTGTGAATAGAAATGCTCAACTCTGTTAGCTGACGACATACGTCACAAAGCAGTTTGTGAGAATGCTTCTGTCTAGGTTTTATGGGATGATATTTCCTTTTTCACCATAAGCGTCCAAGAGCTCCAAGTGCCCACATCCAGATACTTCAGAAAGGGTGTTTCAAACCTGCTCTATGAAAGGGAATGTTCAACTCTGTGACGTGAATGCGGATATCACAAAGCCGTTTCTGAGAATGTTACTGTCTAGGTTTTCTATGAAGATACTCCCGTTTCCAACGAAATCCACAAAGCCATCCAAATATCCACTTGCAGATTCTACAAAAATCGTGTTTCCAAACTGCTCTGTCAAACGAAATGTTCAACTCTGTGAGTTGAGGACACACATCACAAACAAGTTTCTGCGAATGCTTCTGTCTAGTTTGCATGGGAAGATATTTCCTTGTTCACCATAGGCCTGAAAGCGCTCGAAATGTCCACTTCCAGATACTGCAGAAAGAGGGTTTGAAACCTGCTCTATGAAAGGGAACGTTCAACTCTGTGACTTGAACGCAAACATCATAAAGAAGCTTCTGAGAATGCTGCTGTCTACTTTGTATATGTAATCCCGTTTCCAACGTATCCCTCCAAGCTATCCAAATATCCTCCTGCAGATTCCACGAAAAGACGCTTTCAAGCCTGCCCTTAGAAAGGGAATATTCAACTCTCTGATATCAATGCAGATATCACAAAGTAGTTTCTGAGAGTGCTTCTGTCTAGGTTTTATATGAAGATATTCCCGTTTCCAACGAAATAGTTAGGGCTATCCATGTATCAACTTGCAAATTCTATAAAAAGAGTGTTTCCCAACTGCCGTATCATAAGAAAGGTTGAACTCTGTTAGTTGAGGACACACATCACAACGACGTTTCTGAGAATGCTTCTGTCTAGTTTTTATGTTAAGATATTTCCTTTTTCAACATAGGCCTGTAATCGATCGAAATGTCCACTTCCAGATACTACAGAAAGAGTGTTTCAAACCTGCTCTATTGAAGGGAATATTCAACTCTGTGACTTAAAAGCAAACATCACAAAGAATCTCCTGAGAATGCTGCTGTCTACTTTCTTTATGTATTCCCGTCTCCAACGAAATCCTCAGAGCTATCCGAATATCCATCTGCAGATTCCACATAAAGAGCTTTCCAAAACTGATCTATAAAGAGAAAGGTTCAACTCTGTTAGTTGAGTACCTATATCCCAAAAATGTTTCTTAGAATGCTTCTGTCTAGTTTTGATGGGAAGACATTTCCTTTTTCACCAAAGGCGTCAAAGTGCTCCAAATGTCCACTTCCAGATACAACAAAAAGAGTGTTTCAAACCTGCTTTAAGAAGGGAAATGTTCAACTCTGTGGCTTGAATGCAGATATCACAAAGCAGTTTCTGAGAGTGCCACTGTCTAGATTTTATATGAAGGTATTCCCGTTTCCAACGAAATCGTTAGAGCTATCCAAATATCCACTTGCAGATTCTATAAAAAGAGTGTTTCC
This sequence comes from Homo sapiens, assembly GCF_000001405.40. NCBI lineage: Eukaryota > Metazoa > Chordata > Mammalia > Primates > Hominidae > Homo > Homo sapiens. The sequence continues at coordinate 15,565,374 of NC_000018.10, read as the reverse complement.
AACGTGCTGTATCAAAAGATAGGTTGTACACTGTTAGTTGAGGACACACATTACAAAGAAGTTTCTGAGAATGCCTCTGTCTAGATTTTACCTGAAGATATTCCGGTTTCCGGTGAAATCCTTAAAGCTCTCCACATATCCACTAGCAGATACTCCAAAAGAGTCTTTCAAAACTGCTCTGTGAATAGAAATGTTCAACTCTGTTAGCTGACGACATACGTCTCAAAGCAGTTTGTGAGAATGCTTCTGTCTAGGTTTTATGGGACGATATTTCCTTTTTCACCATAAGCGTTCAAGAGCTCCAAGTGCCCACATCCAGATACTTCAGAAAGGGTGTTTCAAACCTGCTCTATGAAAGGGAATGTTCAAATCTGTGACGTGAATGCGGATATCACAAAGCCGTTTCTGAGAATGTTACTGTCTAGGTTTTCTATGAAGATACTCCCGTTTCCAACGAAATCCACAAAGCCATCCAAATATCCACTTGCAGATTCTACAAAAATCGTGTTTCCAAACTGCTCTGTCAAACGAAATGTTCAACTCTGTGAGTTGAGGACACACATCACAAACAAGTTTCTGCGAATGCTTCTGTCTAGTTTGCATGGGAAGATATTTCCTTGTTCACCATAGGCCTGAAAGCGCTCGAAATGTCCACTTCCAGATACTGCAGAAAGAGGGTTTGAAACCTGCTCCATGAAAGGGAACGTTCAACTGTGTGACTTAAACGCAAACATTACAAAGAAGCTTCTGAGAATGCTGCTGTCTACTTTGTATATGTAATCCCGTTTCCAACGTAACCCTCAAAGCTATCCAAATATCCTCCTGCAGATTCCACGAAAAGACGCTTTCAAGCCTGCCCTTAGAAAGGGAATATTCAACTCTCTGATATCAATGCAGATATCACAAAGTAGTTTCTGAGAGTGCTTCTGTCTAGGTTTTATATGAAGATATTCCCGTTTCCAACGAAATAGTTAGGGCTATCCATGTATCAACTTGCAAATTCTATAAAAAGAGTGTTTCCAAACTGCTGTATCATAAGAAAGGTTGAACTCTGTTAGTTGAGGACACACATCACAAAGACATTTCTGAGAATGCTTCTGTCTAGTTTTTATGTTAAGATATTTCCTTTTTCAACATAGGCCTGAAATCGATCGAAATGTCCACTTCCAGATACTACGGAAAGAGTGTTTCAAACCTGCTCTATTGAAGGGAATATTCAACTCTGTGACTTAAAAGCAAACATCACAAAGAATCTCCCGAGAATGCTGCTGTCTACTTTCTTTATGTATTCCCGTCTCCAACGAAATCCTCAGAGCTATCCGAATATCCATCTGCAGATTCCACATAAAGAGCTTTCCAAAACTGATCTATAAAGTGAAAGGTTCAACTCTGTTAGTTGAGTACATATATCCCAAAAATGTTTCTTATAATGCTTCTGTCTAGTTTTGATGGGAAGACATTTCCTTTTTCACCAAAGGCGTCAAAGTGCTCCAAATGTCCACTTCCAGATACGACAGAAAGAGTGTTTCAAACCTGCTTTAGGAAGGGAAATGTTCAACTCTGTGGCTTGAATGCAGATATCACAAAGCAGTTTCTGAGAGTGCCACTGTCTAGATTTTATATGAAGGTATTCCCGTTTCCAACGAAATCGTTAGAGCTATCCAAATATCCACTTGCAGATTCTATAAAAAGAGTGTTTCCAACGTGCTGTATCAAAAGATAGGTTGTACACTGTTAGTTGAGGACACACATTACAAAGAAGTTTCTGAGAATGCCTCTGTCTAGATTTTACCTGAAGATATTCCGGTTTCCAATGAAATCCTTAAAGCTCTCCAAATATCCACTAGCAGATACTCCAAAAGAGTCTTTCAAAACTGCTCTGTGAATAGAAATGTTCAACTCTGTTAGTTGAATACATACGTCACAAAGCAGTTTGTGAGAATGCTTTTGTCCAGTTTTAATGGGACGATATGTCCTTTTTCACCATAAGCGTCCAAGCGCTCCAAGTGCCCACATCCAGATACTACAGAAAGTGTGTTTCAAACCTGCTCTATGAAAGGGAATGTTCAACTCTGTGACGTGAATGCAGATATCACAAAGCAGTTTCTGAGCATGTTACTGTCTAGGTTGTCTATGAAGATACTCCCGTTTCCAACGAAATCCACAAAGCCATCCAAATATCCACTAGCAGATTCTACAAAAATCGTGTTTCCAAACTGCTCTGTCAAACGAAATGTTCAACTCCGTGAGTTGAGGACACACATCACAAACAAGTTTCTGCGAATGCTTCTGTCTAGTTTGCATGGGAAGATATTTCCTTGTTCACCACGGGCCTGAAAGCGCTCGAAATGTCCACTTCCAGATACTGCAGAAAGAGGGTTTGAAACCTGCTCTATGAAAGGGAACGTTCAACTCTGTGACTTAAACGCAAACGTCATAAAGAAGCTTCTGAGAATGCTGCTGTCTACTTTGTATATGTAATCCCGTTTCCAACGTAACCCTCCAAGCTATCCAAATATCCTCCTGCAGATTCCACAAAAAGACGCTTTCAAGCCTGCCCTTAGAAAGGGAATATTCAACTCTCTGTTATCAATGCAGATATCACAAAGTAGATTCTGAGAGTGCTTCTGTCTAGGTTTTATATGAAGATATTCCCGTTTCCAACGAAATAGTTAAGGCTATCCATGTATCAACTTGCAAACGCTATAAAAAGAGTGTTTCCAAACTGCTGTATCATAAGAAAGGTTGAACTCTGTTAGTTGAGGACACACATCACAAACACGTTTCTGAGAATGCTTCTGTCTAGTTTTTATGTTAAGATATTTCCTTTTTCAACATAGGCCTGTAATCGATCGAAATGTCCACTTCCAGATACTACAGAAAGAGTGTTTCAAACCTGCTCTATTGAAGGGAATATTCAACCCTGTGACTTAAAAGCAAACATCACAAAGAATCTCCCGAGAATGCTGCTGTCTACTTTCTTTATGTATTCCCGTCTCCAACGAAATCCTCAGAGCTATCCGAATATCCATCTGCAGATTCCACATAAAGAGCTTTCCAAAACTGATCTATAAAGAGAAAGGTTCAACTCTGTTAGTTGAGTACATATATCCCAAAAATGTTTCTTAGAATGCTTCTGTCTAGTTTTCATGGGAAGACATTTCCTTTTTCACCAAAGGCATCAAAGTGCTCCAAATGTCCACTTCCAGATACGACAAAAAGAGTGTTTCAAACCTGCTTTAGGAAGGGAAATGTTCAACTCTGTGGCTTGAATGCAGATATCACAAAGCAGTTTCTGAGAGTGCCACTGTCTAGATTTTATATGAAGGTATTCCCGTTTCCAACGAAATCGTTAGAGCTATCCAAATATCCACTTGCAGATTCTATAAAAAGAGTGTTTCCAACGTGCTGTATCAAAAGATAGGTTGTACACTGTTAGTTGAGGACACACATTACAAAGAAGTTTCTGAGAATGCCTCTGTCTAGATTTTACCTGAAGATATTCCGGTTTCCAGTGAAATCCTTAAAGCTCTCCACATATCCACTAGCAGATACTCCAAAAGAGTCTTTCAAAACTGCTCTGTGAATAGAAATGCTCAACTCTGTTAGCTGACGACATACGTCACAAAGCAGTTTGTGAGAATGCTTCTGTCTAGGTTTTATGGGACGATATTTCCTTTTTCACCATAAGCGTTCAAGAGCTCCAAGTGCCCACATCCAGATACTTCAGAAAGGGTGTTTCAAACCTGCTCTATGAAAGGGAATGTTCAAATCTGTGACGTGAATGCGGATATCACAAAGCCGTTTCTGAGAATGTTACTGTCTAGGTTGTCTATGAAGATACTCCCGTTTCCAACGAAATCCACAAAGCCATCCAAATATCCACTTGCAGATTCTGCAAAAATCGTGTTTCCAAACTGCTCTGTCATACGAAATGTTCAACTCTGTGAGCTGAGGACACACATCACAAACAAGTTTCTGCGAATGCTTCTGTCTAGTTTGCATGGGAAGATATTTCCTTGTTCACCATAGGCCTGAAAGCCCTCGAAATGTCCACTTCCAGATACTGCAGAAAGAGGGTTTGAAACCTGCTCTATGAAAGGGAACGTTCAACTCTGTGACTTGAACGCAAACATCATAAAGAAGCTTCTGAGAATGCTGCTGTCTACTTTGTATATGTAATCCCGTTTCCAACGTAACCCTCAAAGCTATCCAAATATCCTCCTGCAGATTCCACGCAAAGACGCTTTCAAGCCTGCCCTTAGAAAGGGAATATTCAACTCTCTGATATCAACGCAGATATCACAAAGTAGTTTCTGAGAGTGTTTCTGTCTAGGTTTTCTATGAAGATATTCCCGTTTCCAACGAAATAGTTAGGGCTATCCATGTATCAACTTGCAAATTCTATAAAAAGAGTGTTTCCAAACTGCTGTATCATAAGAAAGGTTGAACTCTGTTAGTTGAGGACACACATCACAAAGACGTTTCTGAGAATGCTTCTGTCTAGTTTTTATGTTACGATATTTCCTTTTTCAACATAGCCCTGAAATCGATCGAAATGTCCACTTTCAGATACTACAGAAAGAGTGTTTCAAATCTGTTCTATTGAAGGGAATATTCAACTCTGTGACTTAAAAGCAAACATCACAAAGAATCTCCCGAGAATGCTGCTGTCTACTTTCTTTATGTATTCCCGTCTCCAACGAAATCCTCAGAGCTATCCGAATATCCATCTGCAGATTCCACATAAAGAGCTTTCCAAAACTGATCTATAAAGAGAAAGGTTCAACTCTGTTACTTGAGTACATATATCCCAAAAATGTTTCTTAGAATGCTTCTGTCTAGTTTTGATGGGAAGACATTTCCTTTTTCACCAAAGGCGTCAAAGTGCTCCAAATGTCCACTTCCAGATACGACAGAAAGAGTGTTTCAAACCTGCTTTAGGAAGGGAAATGTTCAACTCTGTGGCTTGAATGCAGATATCACAAAGCAGTTTCTGCGAGTGCCACTGTCTAGATTTTATATGAAGGTATTCCCGTTTCCAACGAAATCGTTAGAGCTATCCAAATATCCACTTGCAGATTCTATAAAAAGAGTGTTTCCAACGTGCTGTATCAAAAGATAGGTTGTACACTGTTAGTTGAGGACACACATTACAAAGAAGTTTCTGAGAATGCCTCTGTCTAGATTTTACCTGAAGATATTCCGGTTTCCAGTGAAATCCTTAAAGCTCTCCACATATCCACTAGCAGATACTCCAAAAGAGTCTTTGAAAACTGCTCTGTGAATAGAAATGCTCAACTCTGTTAGCTGACGACATACGTCACAAAGCAGTTTGTGAGAATGCTTCTGTCTAGGTTTTATGGGACGATATTTCCTTTTTCACCATAAGCGTCCAAGAGCTCCAAGTGCCCACATCCAGATACTTCAGAAAGGGTGTTTCAAACCTGCTCTATGAAAGGGAATGTTCAACTCTGTGACGTGAATGCGGATATCACAAAGCCGTTTCTGAGAATGTTACTGTCTAGGTTTTCTATGAAGATACTCCCGTTTCCAACGAAATCCACAAAGCCATCCAAATATCCACTTGCAGATTCTACAAAAATCGTGTTTCCAAACTGCTCTGTCAAACGAAATGTTCAACTCTGTGAGTTGAGGACACAAATCACAAACAAGTTTCTGCGAATGCTTCTGTCTAGTTTGCATGGGAAGATATTTCCTTGTTCACCATAGGCCTGAAAGCGCTCGAAATGTCCACTTCCAGATACTGCAGAAAGAGGGTTTGAAACCTGCTCTATGAAAGGGAACGTTCAACTCTGTGACTTGAACGCAAACATCATAAAGAAGCTTCTGAGAATGCTGCTGTCTGCTTTGTACATGTAATCCCGTTTCCAACGTAACCCTCAAAGCTATCCAAATATCCTCCTGCAGATTCCAGGAAAAGACGCTTTCAAGCCTGCCCTTAGAAAGGGAATATTCAACTCTCTGATATCAATGCAGATATCACAAAGTAGTTTCTGAGAGTGCTTCTGTCTAGGTTTTATGTGAAGATATTCCCGTTTCCAACAAAATAGTTAGGGCTATCCATGTACCAACTTGCAAATTCTATAAAAAGAGTGTTTCCCAACTGCTGTATCATAAGAAAGGTTGAACTCTGTTAGTTGAGGACACACATCACAAAGACGTTTCTGAGAATGCTTCTGTCTAGTTTTTATGTTAAGATATTTCCTTTTTCAACATAGGCCTGAAATCGATCGAAATGGCCACTTCCAGATACTACAGAAAGAGTGTTTCAAACCTGCTCTATTGAAGGGAATATTCAACTCTGTGACTGAAAAGCAAACATCACAAAGAATCTCCCGAGAATGCTGCTGTCTACTTTCTTTATGTATTCCCGTCTCCAACGAAATCCTCAGAGCTATCCGAATATCCATCTGCAGATTCCACATAAAGAGCTTTCCAAAACTGATCTATAAAGAGAAAGGTTCAACTCTGTTAGTTGAGTACATATATCCCAAAAATGTTTCTTAGAATGCTTCTGTCTAGTTTTCATGGGAAGACATTTCCTTTTTCACCAAAGGCGTCAAAGTGCTCCAAATGTCCACTTCCAGATACGACAAAAAGAGTGTTTCAAACCTGCTTTAGGAAGGGAAATGTTCAACTCTGTGGCTTGAATGCAGATATCACAAAGCAGTTTCTGAGAGTGCCACTGTCTAGATTTTTTATGAAGGTATTCCCGTTTCCAACGAAATCGTTAGAGCTATCCAAATATCCACTTGCAGATTCTATAAAAAGAGTGTTTCCAACGTGCTGTATCAAAAGATAGGTTGTACACTGTTAGTTGAGGACACACATTACAAAGAAGTTTCTGAGAATGCCTCTGTCTAGATTTTACCTGAAGATATTCCGGTTTCCAATGAAATCCTTAAAGCTCTCCAAATATCAACTAGCAGATACTCCAAAAGACTCCTTCGAAACTGCTCTGTGAATAGAAATGTTCAACTCTGTTAGTTGAAGACATACGTCACAAAGCAGTTTGTGAGAATGATTCTGTCCAGATTTTATGGGACGATATGTCCTTTTTCACCATAAGCGTCCAAGCGCTCCAAGTGCCCACATCCAGATACTACAGAAAGTGTGGTTCAAACCTGCTCTATGAAAGGGAATGTTCAACTCTGTGACGTGAATGCAGATATCACAAAGCAGTTTCTGAGAATGTTACTGTCTAGGTTGTCTGTGAAGATACTCCCGTTTCCAACGAAATCCACAAAGCCATCCAAATATCCACTTGCAGATTCTACAAAAATCGTGTTTCCAAACTGCTCTGTCAAACGAAATGTTCAACTCCGTGAGTTGAGGACACACATCACAAACAAGTTTCTGCGAATGCTTCTGTCTAGTTTGCATGGGAAGATATTTCCTTGTTCACCATGGGCCTGAAAGCGCTCGAAATGTCCACTTCCAGATACTGCAGAAAGAGGGTTTGAAACCTGCTCTATGAAAGGGAACGTTCAACTCTGTGACTTAAACGCAAACATCACAAAGAAGCTTCTGAGAATGCTGCTGTCTACTTTGTATATGTAATCCCGTTTCCAACGTAACCCTCAAAGCTATCCAAATATCCTCCAGCAGATTCCACGAAAAGACGCTTTCAAGCCTTCCCTTAGAAAGGGAATATTCAACTCTCTGATATCAATGCAGATATCACAAAATAGTTTCTGAGAGTGCTTCTGTCTAGGTTTTATATGAAGATATTCCCGTTTCCAACGAAATAGTTAGGGCTATCCATGTATCAACTTGCAAATTCTATAAAAAGAGTGTTTCCAAACTGCTGTATCATAAGAAAGGTTGAACTCTGTTAGTTGAGGACACACATCACAAAGACGTTTCTGAGAATGCTTCTGTCTAGTTTTTATGTTAAGGTATTTCCTTTTACAACATAGGCCTGAAATCGATCGAAATGTCCACTTCCAGATACTACAGAAAGAGTGTTTCAAACCTGCTCTATTGAAGGGAATATTCAACTCTGTGACTTAAAAGCAAACATCACAAAGAATCTCCTGAGAATGCTGCTGTCTACTTTCTTTATGTATTCCCGTCTCCAACGAAATCCTCAGAGCTATCCGAATATCCATCTGCAGATTCCACATAAAGAGCTTTCCAAAACTGATCTATAAAGAGAAAGGTTCAACTCTGTTAGTTGAGTACATATATCCCAAAAATGTTTCTTAGAATGCTTCTGTCTAGTTTTCATGGGAAGACATTTCCTTTTTCACCAAAGGCGTCAAAGTGCTCCAAATGTCCACTTCCAGATACGACAGAAAGAGTGTTTCAAACCTGCTTTAGGAAGGGAAATGTTCAACTCTGTGGCTTGAATGCAGATATCACAAAGCAGTTTTCTGAGAGTGCCACTGTCTAGATTTTATATGAAGGTATTCCCGTTTCCAACGAAATCGTTAGAGCTACCCAACTATCCACTTGCAGATTCTATAAAAAGAGTGTTTCCAACGTGCTGTATCAAAAGATAGGTTGTACACTGTTAGTTGAGGACACACATTACGAAGAAGTTTCTGAGAATGCCTCTGTCTAGATTTTACCTGAAGATATTCCGGTTTCCAATGAAATCCTTAAAGCTCTCCAAATATCCACTAGCAGATACTCCAAAAGAGTCTTTCAAAACTGCTCTGTAAATAGAAATGTTCAACTCTGTTAGTTGAAGACATACGTCACAAAGCAGTTTGTGAGAATGCTTCTGTCCAGTTTTTATGGGACGATCTGTCCTTTTTCACCATAAGCGTCCAAGCGCTCCAAGTGCCCACATCCAGATACTACAGAAAGTGTGTTTCAAACCTGCTCTATGAAAGGGAATGTTCAACTCTGTGACGTGAATGCAGATATCACAAAGCAGTTTCTGAGCATGTTACTGTCTAGGTTGTCTGTGAAGATACTCCCGTTTCCAACGAAATCCACAAAGCCATCCAAATATCCACTTGCAGATTCTACAAAAATCGTGTTTCCAAACTGCTCTGTCAAACGAAATGTTCAACTCTGTGAGTTGAGGACACACATCACAAACAAGTTTCTGCGAATGCTTCTGTCTAGTTTGCATGGGAAGATATTTCCTTGTTCACCATGGGCCTGAAAGCGCTCGAAATGTCCACTTCCAGATACTGCAGAAAGAGGGTTTGAAACCTGCTCTATGAAAGGGAACGTTCAACTCTGTGACTTAAACGCAAACATCACAAAGAAGCTTCTGAGAATGCTGCTGTCTACTTTGTATATGTAATCCCGTTTCCAACGTATCCCTCCAAGCTATCCAAATATCCTCCTGCAGATTCCACGAAAAGACGCTTTCAAGCCTGCCCTTAGAAAGGGAATATTCAACTCTCTGATATCAATGCAGATATCACAAAGTAGTTTCTGAGAGTGCTTCTGTCTAGGTTTTATATGAAGATATTCCCGTTTCCAACGAAATAGTTAGGGCTATGCATGTATCAACTTGCAAATTCTATAAAAAGAGTGTTTCCAAACTGCTGTATCATAAGAAAGGTTGAACTCTGTTATTTGAGGACACACATCACAAAGACGTTTCTGAGAATGCTTCTGTCTAGTTTTGATGTTAAGGTATTTCCTTTTTCAACATAGGCCTGAAATCGATCGAAATGTCCACTTCCAGATACTACAGAAAGAGTGTTTCAAACCTGCTCTATTGAAGGGAATATTCAACTCTGTGACTTAAAAGCAAACATCACAAAGAATCTCCTGGGAATGCTGCTGTCTACTTTCTTTATGTATTCCCGTCTCCGACGAAATCCTCAGATCTATCTGAATATCCATCTGCAGATCCCAAATAAAGAGCTTTCCAAAGCTGATCTATAAAGAGAAAGGTTCAACTCTGTTAGTTGAGTACATATATCCCAAAAATGTTTCTTAGAATGCTTCTGTCTAGTTTTGATGGGAAGACATTTCCTTTTTCACCAAAGGCGTCAAAGTGCTCCAAATGTCCACTTCCAGATATGACAGAAAGAGTGTTTCAAACGTGCTTTAGGAAGGGAAATTTTCAACTCTGTGGCTTGAATGCAGATATCACAAAGCAGTTTCTGAGAGTGCCACTGTCTAGATTTTATATGAAGGTACTCCCATTTCCAACGAAATCGTTAGAGCTATCCAAATATCCACTTGCAGATTCTATAAAAAGAGTGTTTCCAACGTGCTGTATCAAAAGATAGGTTGTACACTGTTAGTTGAGGACACACATTACAAAGAAGTTTCTGAGAATGCCTCTGTCTAGATTGCACCTGAAGATATTCCAGTTTCCAATGAAATCCTTAAAGCTCTCCAAATATCCACTAGCAGATACTCCAAAAGAGTCTTTCAAAACTGCTCTGTGAATAGAAAGGTTCAACTCTGTTAGTTGAAGACATACGTCACAAAGCAGTTTGTGAGAATGCTTCTGTCCAGTTTTTATGGGACGATCTGTCCTTTTTCACCATAAGCGTCCAAGCGCTCCAAGTGCCCACATCCAGATACTACAGAAAGTGTGTTTCAAACCTGCTCTATGAAAGGGAATGTTCAACTCTGTGACGTGAATGCAGATATCACAAAACAGTTTCTGAGCATGTTACTGTCTAGGTTGTCTATGAAGATACTCCCGTTTCCAACGAAATCCACAAAGCCATCCAAATATCCACTTGCAGATTCTACAAAAATCGTGTTTCCAAACTGCTCTGTCAAACGAAATGTTCAACTCCCTGAGTTGAGGACACACATCACAAACAAGTTTCTGCGAATGCTTCTGTCTAGTTTGCATGGGAAGATATTTCCTTGTTCACCACGGGCCTGAAAGCGCTCGAAATGTCCACATCCAGATACTACAGAAAGAGAGTTTGAAACCTGCTCTATGAAAGGGAACGTTCAACTCTGTGACTTAAACGCAAACATCACAAAGAAGCTTCTGAGAATGCTGCTGTCTACTTTGTATATGTAATCCCGTTTCCAACGTAACCCTCAAAGCTATCCAAATATCCTCCTGCAGATTCCACAAAAAGACGCTTTCAAGCCTGCCCTTAGAAAGGGAATATTCAACTCTCTGATATCAATGCAGATATCACAAAGTAGTTTCTGAGAGTGCTTCTGCCTAGGTTTTATATGAAGATATTCCCGTTTCCAACGAAATAGTTAGGGCTATCCATGTATCAACTTGCAAATTCTATAAAAAGAGTGTTTCCAAACTGCTGTATCATAAGAAAGGTTGAACTCTGTTAGTTGAGGACACACATCACAAAGACGTTTCTGAGAATGCTTCTGTCTAGTTTTTATGGGAAGATATTTCCTTTTTCCACATAGGCCTGAAATCGCCCGAAATGTCCACTTCCAGATACTACAGAAAGAGTGTTTCAAACCTGCTCTATGGAAGGGAATATTCAACTCTGTGACTTAAAAGCAAACATCACAAAGAATCTCCTGAGAATGCTGCTGTCTACTTTTTATATGTAATCCCGTCTCCAACGAAATCCTCAGAGCTATCCTAATAACCATTTGCAGATTCCACACAAAGAGCTTTTCAAAACTGATCTATAAAGAGAAAGGTTCAACTCTGTTAGTTGAGTACATATATCCCAAAGAAGTTTCTTAGAATGCTTCGGTCTAGTTTTGATGTGAAGACATTTCCTTTTTCACCAAAGGCGTCAAAGTGCTCCAAATGTCCACTTCCAGATACTACCAAAAGAGTGTTTTAAACCTGCTTTAAGAAAGGAAATGTTGAACTCTGTGACTTGAATGCAGATATCACAAAGCAGTTTCTGAGAGTGCCACTGTCTAGATTTTATATGAAGGTATTCCCGTTTCCAACGAAGTCGTTAGAGCTATCCAACTATCCACTTGCAGATTCTATAAAAAGAGTGTTTCCAACGTGCTGTATCAAAAGATAGGTTGTACACTGTTAGTTGAGGACACACATTACGAAGAAGTTTCTGAGAATGCCTCTGTCTAGATTTTACCTGAAGATATTCCGGTTTCCAATGAAATCCTTAAAGCTCTCCAAATATCCACTAGCAGATACTCCAAAAGAGTCTTTCAAAACTGCTCTGTGAATAGAAATGTTCAACTCTGTTAGTTGAAGACATACGTCACAAAGCAGTTTGTGAGAATGCTTCTGTCCAGTTATTATGGGACGATATGTCCTTTTTCACCATAAGCGTCCAAGCGCTCCAAGTGCCCACATCCAGATACTACAGAAAGTGTGTTTCAAACCTGCTCTATGAAAGGGAATGTTCAACTCTGTGACGTGAATGCAGATATCACAAAGCAGTTTCTGAGAATGTTACTGTCTAGGTTGTCTATGAAGATACTCCCGTTTCCAACGAAATCCACAAAGCCATCCAAATATCCACTTGCAGATTCTACAAAAACCGTGTTTCCAAACTGCTCTGTCAAACGAAATGTTCAACTCTGTGAGTTGAGGACACACATCACAAACAAGTTTCTGCGAATGCTTCTGTCTAGTTTGCTTGGGAAGATATTTCCTTGTTCACCATAGGCCTGAAAGCGCTCGAAATGTCCACTTCCAGATACTGCAGAAGGAGGGTTTGAAACCTGCTCTATGAAAGGGAACGTTCAACTCTGTGACTTAAACGCAAACATCACAAAGAATCTTCTGAGAATGCTGCTGTCTACTTTGTATATGTAATCCCGTTTCCAACATAACCCTCAAAGCTATCCAAATATCCTCCTGCAGATTCCACGAAAAGACGCTTTCAAGCCTTCCCTTAGAAAGGGAATATTCAACTCTCTGATATCAATGCAGATATCACAAAGTAGTTTCTGAGAGTGCTTCTGTCTAGATTTTATATGAAGATATTCCCGTTTCAAACGAAATAGTTTGAGCTATCCATATATCAACTTGCAAATTCTATAAACAGAGTGTTTCCAAACTGCTGTATCATAAGACAGGTTGAACTCTGTTAGTTGAGGACACACATCACAAAGACGTTTCTGAGAATGCTTCTGTCTAGTTTTTATGTTAAGATATTTCCTTTTTCAACATAGGCCTGAAATCGATCGAAATGGCCACTTCCAGATACTACAGAAAGAGTGTTTCAAACCTGCTCTATTGAAGGGAATATTCAACTCTGTGACTGAAAAGCAAACATCACAAAGAATCTCCCGAGAATGCTGCTGTCTACTTTCTTTATGTATTCCCGTCTCCAACGAAATCCTCAGAGCTATCCGAATATCCATCTGCAGATTCCACATAAAGAGCTTTCCAAAACTGATCTGTAAAGAGAAAGGTTCAACTCTGTTAGTTGAGTACATATATCCCAAAAATGTTTCTTAGAATGCTTCTGTCTAGTTTTGATGGGAAGACATTTCCTTTTTCACCAAAGGCGTCAAAGTGCTCCAAATGTCCACTTCCAGATACGACAGAAAGAGTGTTTCAAACCTGCTTTAGGAAGGGAAATGTTCAACTCTGTGGCTTGAATGCAGATATCACAAAGCAGTTTCTGCGAGTGCCACTGTCTAGATTTTATATGAAGGGATTCCCGTTTCCAACGAAATCGTTAGAGCTATCCAAATATCCACTTGCAGATTCTATAAAAAGAGTGTTTCCAACGTGCTGTATCAAAAGATAGGTTGTACACTGTTAGTTGAGGACACACATTACAAAGAAGTTTCTGAGAATGCCTCTGTCTAGATTTTACCTGAAGATATTCCGGTTTCCAGTGAAATCCTTAAAGCTCTCCACATATCCACTAGCAGATACTCCAAAAGAGTCTTTCAAAACTGCTCTGTGAATAGAAATGCTCAACTCTGTTAGCTGACGACATACGTCACAAAGCAGTTTGTGAGAATGCTTCTGTCTAGGTTTTATGGGACGATATTTCCTTTTTCACCATAAGCGTCCAAGAGCTCCAAGTGCCCACATCCAGATACTTCAGAAAGGGTGTTTCAAACCTGCTCTATGAAAGGGAATGTTCAACTCTGTGACGTGAATGCGGATATCACAAAGCCGTTTCTGAGAATGTTACTGTCTAGGTTTTCTATGAAGATACTCCCGTTTCCAACGAAATCCACAAAGCCATCCAAATATCCACTTGCAGATTCTACAAAAATCGTGTTTCCAAACTGCTCTGTCAAACGAAATGTTCAACTCTGTGAGTTGAGGACACACATCACAAACAAGTTTCTGGGAATGCTTCTGTCTAGTTTGCATCTGAAGATATTTCCTTGTTCACCATAGGCCTGAAAGCGCTCGAAATGTCCACTTCCAGATACTGCAGAAAGAGGGTTTGAAACCTGCTCTATGAAAGGGAACGTTCAACTCTGTGACTTGAACGCAAACATCATAAAGAAGCTTCTGAGAATGCTGCTGTCTACTTTGTATATGTAATCCCGTTTCCAACGTAACCCTCCAAGCTATCCAAATATCCTCCTGCAGATTCCACGAAAAGACGCTTTCAAGCCTGCCCTTAGAAGGGGAATATTCAACTCTCTGATATCAATGCAGATATCACAAAGTAGTTTCTGAGAGTGCTTCTGTCTAGGTTTTATGTGAAGATATTCCCGTTTCCAACGAAATAGTTAGGGCTATCCATGTATCAGCTTGCAAATTCTATAAAAAGAGTGTTTCCAAACTGCTGTATCATAAGAAAGGTTGAACTCTGTTAGTTGAGGACACACATCACAAAGACGTTTCTGAGAATGCTTCTGTCTAGTTTTTATGTTAAGACATTTCCTTTTTCAACGTAGGCCTGAAATCGATCGAAATGGCCACTTCCAGATACTACAGAAAGAGTGTTTCAAGCCTGCTCTATTGAAGGGAATATTCAACTCTGTGACTTAAAAGCAAACATCACAAAGAATCTCCCGAGAATGCTGCTGTCTACTTTCTTTATGTATTCCCGTCTCCAACGAAATCCTCAGAGCTATCCGAATATCCATTTGCAGATTCCACATAAAGAGCTTTCCAAAACTGATCTATAAAGAGAAAGGTTCAACCCTGTTAGTTGAGTACATATATCCCAAAAATGTTTCTTACAATGCTTCTGTCTAGTTTTGATGGGAAGACATTTCCTTTTTCACCAAAGGCGTCAAGTGCTCCAAATGTCCACTTCCAGATACGACAAAAAGAGTGTTTCAAACCTGCTTTAGGAAGGGAAATGTTCAACTCTGTGGCTTGAATGCAGATATCACAAAGCAGTTTCTGAGAGTGCCACTGTCTAGATTTTATATGAAGGTATTCCCGTTTCCAACGAAATCGTTAGAGCTATCCAAATATCCACTTGCAGATTCTATAAAAAGAGTGTTTCCAACGTGCTGTATCAAAAGATAGGTTGTACACTGTTAGTTGAGGACACACATTACAAAGAAGTTTCTGAGAATGCCTCTGTCTAGATTTTACCTGAAGATATTCCGGTTTCCGGTGAAATCCTTTAATCTCTCCAAATATCCACTAGCAGATACTCCAAAAGAGTCTTTCAAAACTGCTCTGTGAATAGAAATGTTCAACTCTGTTAGCTGACGACATACGTCTCAAAGCAGTTTGTGAGAATGCTTCTGTCTAGTTTTTATGGGACGATATTTCCTTTTTCACCCTAAGCGTCCAAGCGCTCCAAGTGCCCACATCCAGATACTACAGAAAGGGTGTTTCAAACCTGCTCTATGAAAGGGAATGTTCAACTCTGTGACGTGAATGCGGATATCACAAAGCCGTTTCTGAGAATGTTACTGTCTAGGTTTTCTATGAAGATACTCCCGTTTCCAACGAAATCCACAAAGCCATCCAAATATCCACTTGCAGATTCTACAAAAATCGTGTTTCCAAACTGCTCTGTCAAACGAAATGTTCAACTCTGTGAGTTGAGGACACACATCACAAACAAGTTTCTGCGAATGCTTCTGTCTAGTTTGCATGGGAAGATATTTCCTTGTTCACCATAGGCCTGAAAGCGCTCGAAATGTCCACTTCCAGATACTGCAGAAAGAGGGTTTGAAACCTGCTCTATGAAAGGGAACGTTCAACTCTGTGACTTGAACGCAAACATCATAAAGAAGCTTCTGAGAATGCTGCTGTCTACTTTGTATATGTAATCCCGTTTCCAACGTATCCCTCAAAGCTATCCAAATATCCTCCTGCAGATTCCACGAAAAGACGCTTTCAAGCCTGCCCTTAGAAAGGGAATATTCAACTCTCTGATATCAATGCAGATATCACAAAGTAGTTTCTGAGAGTGCTTCTGTCTAGGTTTTATATGAAGATATTCCCGTTTCCAACGAAATAGTTAGGGCTATCCATGTATCAACTTGCAAATTCTATAAAAAGAGTGTTTCCAAACTGCTGTATCATAAGAAAGGTTGAACCCTGTTAGTTGAGGACACACATCACAAAGACGTTTCTGAGAATGCTTCTGTCTAGTTTTTATGTTAAGGTATTTCCTTTTTCAACATAGGCCTGAAATCCATCGAAATGTCCACTTCCAGATACTACAGAAAGAGTGTTTCAAACATGCTCTATTGAAGGGAATATTCAACTCTGTGACTTAAAAGCAAACATCACAAAGGATCTCCTGAGAATGCTGCTGTCTACTTTCTTTATGTATTCCCGTCTCCAACGAAATCCTCAGAGTTATCCGAATATCCATCTGCAGATTCCACATAAAGAGCTTTCCAAAACTGATCTATAAAGAGAAAGGTTCAACTCTGTTAGTTGAGTACATATATCCCAGAAATGTTTCTTAGAATGCTTCTGTCTAGTTTTCATGGGAAGACATTTGCTTTTTCACCAAAGGGGTCAAAGTGCTCCAAATGTCCACTTCCAGATATGACAAAAAGTGTGTTTCAAACCTGCTTTAGGAAGGGAAATGTTCAACTCTGTGGCTTGAATGCAGATATCACAAAGCAGTTTCTGGGAGTGACACTGTCTAGATTTTATATGAAGGTATTCCCGTTTCCAACGAAATCGTTAGAGCTATCCAACTATCCACTTGCAGATTCTATAAAAAGAGTGTTTCCAACGTACTGTATCAAAAGATAGGTTGTACACTGTTAGTTGAGGACACACATTACGAAGAAGTTTCTGAGAATGCCTCTGTCTAGATTTTACCTGAAGATATTCCGGTTTCCAATGAAATCCTTAAAGCTCTCCAAATATCCACTAGCAGATACTCCAAAAGAGTCTTTCAAAACTGCTCTGTGAATAGAAGTGTTCAACTCTGTTAGTTGAAGACATACGTCACAAAGCAGTTTGTGAGAATGCTTCTGTCTAGTTTTTATGGGACGATATTTCCTTTTTCACCATAAGCGTCCAAGCGCTCCAAGTGCCCACATCCAGATACTACAGAAAGGGTGTTTCAAACCTGCTCTGTGAAAGGGAATGTTCAACTCTGTGACGTGAATGCGGATATCACAAAGCCGTTTCTGAGAATGTTACTGTCTAGGTTTTCTATGAAGATACTCCCGTTTCCAACGAAATCCACAAAGCCATCCAAATATCCACTTGCAGATTCTACAAAAATCGTGTTTCCAAACTGCTCTGTCAAACGAAATGTTCAACTCTGTGAGTTGAGGACACACATCACAAACAAGTTTCTGCGAATGCTTCTGTCTAGTTTGCATGGGAAGAGATTTCCTTGTTCACCATAGGCCTGAAAGCGCTCGAAATGTCCACTTCCAGATACTGCAGAAAGAGGGTTTGAAACCTGCTCTATGAAAGGGAACGTTCAACTCTGTGACTTGAACGCAAACATCATAAAGAAGCTTCTGAGAATGCTGCTGTCTGCTTTGTACATGTAATCCCGTTTCCAACGTAACCCTCAAAGCTATCCAAATATCCTCCTGCAGATTCCACGAAAAGACGCTTTCAAGCCTGCCCTTAGAAAGGGAATATTCAACTCTCTGATATCAATGCAGATATCACAAAGTAGTTTCTGAGAGTGCTTCTGTCTAGGTTTTATGTGAAGATATTCCCGTTTCCAACGAAATAGTTAGGGCTATCCATGTATCAACTTGCAAATTCTATAAAAAGAGTGTTTCCCAACTGCTGTATCATAAGAAAGGTTGAACTCTGTTAGTTGAGGACACACATCACAAAGACGTTTCTGAGAATGCTTCTGTCTAGTTTTTATGTTAAGATATTTCCTTTTTCAACATAGGCCTGAAATCGATCGAAATGTCCACTTCCAGATACTACGGAAAGAGCGTTTCAAACCTGCTCTATTGAAGGGAATATTCAACTCTGTGACTTCAAAGCAAACATCACAAAGAATTTCCCGAGAATGCTGCTGTCTAGTTTCTTTATGTATTCCCGTCTCCAACGAAATCCTCAGAGCTATCCGAATATCCATCTGCAGATTCCACATAAAGAGCTTTCCAAAACTGATCTATAAAGAGAAAGGTTCAACTCTGTTAGTTGAGTACATATATCCCAAAAATGTTTCTTAGAATGCTTCTGTCTAGTTTTGATGGGAAGACATTTCCTTTTTCACCAAAGGCGTCAAAGTGCTCCAAATGTCCACTTCCAGATACGACAGAAAGAGTGTTTCAAACCTGCTTTAGGAAGGGAAATGTTCAACTCTGTGGCTTGAATGCAGATATCACAAAGCAGTTTCTGCGAGTGCCACTGTCTAGATTTTATATGAAGGGATTCCCGTTTCCAACGAAATCATTAGAGCTATCCAAATATCCACTTGCAGATTCTATAAAAAGAGTGTTTCCAACGTGCTGTATCAAAAGATAGGTTGTACACTGTTAGTTGAGGACACACATTACAAAGAAGTTTCTGAGAATGCCTCTGTCTAGATTTTACCTGAAGATATTCCGGTTTCCAGTGAAATCCTTAAAGCTCTCCACATATCCACTAGCAGATACTCCAAAAGAGTCTTTCAAAACTGCTCTGTGAATAGAAATGCTCAACTCTGTTAGCTGACGACATACGTCACAAAGCAGTTTGTGAGAATGCTTTTGTCTAGGTTTTATGGGACGATATTTCCTTTTTCACCATAAGCGTCCAAGAGCTCCATGTGCCCACATCCAGATACTACAGAAAGGGTGTTTCAAACCTGCTCTATGAAAGGGAATGTTCAACTCTGTGACGTGAATGCGGATATCACAAAGCCGTTTCTGAGAATGTTACTGTCTAGGTTTTCTATGAAGATACTCCCGTTTCCAACGAAATCCACAAAGCCATCCAAATATCCACTTGCAGATTCTACAAAAATCGTGTTTCCAAACTGCTCTGTCAAACGAAATGTTCAACTCTGTGAGTTGAGGACACACATCACAAACAAGTTTCTGCGAATGCTTCTGTCTAGTTTGCATGGGAAGATATTTCCTTGTTCACCATGGGCCTGAAAGCGCTCGAAATGTCCACTTCCAGATACTGCAGAAAGAGGGTTTGAAACCTGCTCTATGAAAGGGAACGTTCAACTCTGTGACTTAAACGCAAATATCACAAAGAAGCTTCTGAGAATGCTGCTGTCTACTTTGTATATGTAATCCCGTTTCCAACTTAACCCTCAAAGCTATCCAAATATCCTCCTGCAGATTCCACGAAAAGACGCTTTCAAGCCTGCCCTTAGAAAGGGAATATTCAACTCTCTGATATCAAGGCAGATATCACAAAGTAGTTTCTGAGAGTGCTTCTGTCTAGGTTTTATATGAAGATATTCCCGTTTCCAACGAAATAGTTAGGGCTATCCATGTATCAACTTGCAAATTCTATAAAAAGAGTGTTTCCAAACTGCTGTATCATAAGAAAGGTTGAACTCTGTTAGTTGAGGACACACATCACAAAGCCGTTTCTGAGAATGCTTCTGTCTAGTTTTTATGTTAAGGTATTTCCTTTTTCAACATAGGCCTGAAATCGATCGAAATGTCCACTTCCAGATACTACAGAAAGAGTGTTTCAAGCCTGCTCTATTGAAGGGAATATTCAACTCTGTGACTTAAAAGCAAACATCACAAAGAATCTCCTGAGAATGCTGCTGTCTACTTTCTTTATGTATTCCCGTCTCCAACGAAATCCTCAGAGCTATCCGAATATCCATCTGCAGATTCCACATAAAGAGCTTTCCAAAACTGATCTATAAAGAGAAAGGTTCAACTCTGTTAGTTGAGTACATATATCCCAAAAATGTTTCTTAGAATGCTTCTGTCTAGTTTTGACGGGAAGACATTTCCTTTTTCACCAAAGGCGTCAAAGTGCTCCAAATGTCCACTTCCAGATACGACAAAACGAGTGTTTCAAACCTGCTTTAGGAAGGGAAATGTTCAACTCTGTGGCTTGAATGCAGATATCACAAAGCAGTTTCTGAGAGTGCCACTGCCTAGATTTTATATGAAGGCCTTCCCGTTTCCAACGAAATCGTTAGAGCTATCCAACTATCCACTTGCAGATTCTATAAAAAGAGTGTTTCCAACGTGCTGTATCAAAAGATAGGTTGTACACTGTTAGTTGAGGACACCCATTACAAACAAGTTTCTGAGAATGCCTCTGTCTAGATTTTACCTGAAGATATTACGGTTTCCAATGAAATCCTTAAAGCTCTCCAAATATCCACTAGCAGATACTCCAAAAGAGTCTTTCAAAACTGCTCTGTGAATAGAAATGTTCTACTCTGTTAGTTGAAGACATACGTCACAAAGCAGTTTGTGAGAATGCTTCTGTCCAGTTTTTATGGGACGATCTGTCCTTTTTCACCATAAGCGTCCAAGCGCTCCAAGTGCCCACATCCAGATACTACAGAAAGTGTGTTTCAAACCTGCTCTATGAAAGGGAATGTTCAACTCTGTGACGTGAATGCAGATATCACAAAACAGTTTCTGAGCATGTTACTGTCTAGGTTGTCTGTGAAGATACTCCCGTTTCCAACGAAATCCACAAAGCCATCCAAATATCCACTTGCAGATTCTACAAAAATCGTGTTTCCAAACTGCTCTGTCAAACGAAATGTTCAACTCCGTGAGTTGAGGACACACATCACAAACAAGTTTCTGCGAATGCTTCTGTCTAGTTTGCATGGGAAGATATTTCCTTGTTCACCATGGGCCTGAAAGCGCTCGAAATGTCCACTTCCAGATACTGCAGAAAGAGGGTTTGAAACCTGCTCTATGAAAGGGAACGTTCAACTCTGTGACTTAAACGCAAACATCACAAAGAAGCTTCTGAGAATGCTGCTGTCTACTTTGTACATGTAATCCCGTTTCCAACGTAACCCTCAAAGCTATCCAAATATCCTCCTGCAGATTCCACGAAAAGACGCTTTCAAGCCTGCCCTTAGAAAGGGAATATTCAACTCTCTGATATCAATGCAGATATCACAAAGTAGTTTCTCAGAGTGCTTCTGTCTAGGTTTTATGTGAAGATATTCCCGTTTCCAACGAAATAGTTAGGGCTATCCATGTATCAACTTGCAAATTCTATAAAAAGAGTGTTTCCCAACTGCTGTATCATAAGAAAGGTTGAACTCTGTTAGTTGAGGACACACATCACAAAGACGTTTCTGAGAATGCTTCTGTCTAGTTTTTATGTTAAGATATTTCCTTTTTCAACATAGGCCTGAAATCGATCGAAATGTCCACTTCCAGATACTACGGAAAGAGTGTTTCAAACCTGCTCTATTGAAAGGAATATTCAACTCTGTGACTGAAAAGCAAACATCACAAAGAATCTCCCGAGAATGCTGCTGTCTACTTTCTTTATGTATTCCCGTCTCCAACGAAATCCTCAGAGCTATCCGAATATCCATTTGCAGTTTCCACATAAAGAGCTTTCCAAAACTGATCTATAAAGAGAAAGGTTCAACTCTGTTAGTTGAGTACATATATCCCAAAAATGTTTCTTAGAATGCTTCTGTCTAGTTTTGATGGGAAGACATTTCCTTTTTCACCAAAGGCGTCAAAGTGCTCCAAATGTCCACTTCCAGATACGACAAAAAGAGTGTTTCAAACCTGCTTTAGGAAGGGAAATGTTCAACTCTGTGGCTTGAATGCAGATATCACAAAGCAGTTTCTGAGAGTGCCACTGTCTAGATTTTATATGAAGGTATTCCCGTTTCCAACGATATCGTTAGCGCTATCCAACTATCCACTTGCAGATTCTATAAAAAGAGTGTTTCCAACGTGCTGTATCAAATGATAGGTTGTACACTGTTAGTTGAGGACACACATTATGAAGAAGTTTCTGAGAATGCCTCTGTCTAGATTTTACCTGAAGATATTCCGGTTTCCAATGAAATCCTTAAAGCTCTCCAAATATCCACTAGCAGATACTCCAAAAGAGTCTTTCAAAACTGCTCTGTGAATAGAAATGTTCAACTCTGTTAGTTGAAGACATACGTCACAAAGCAGTTTGTGAGAATGCTTCTGTCCAGTTTTTATGGGACGATCTGTCCTTTTTCACCATAAGCGTCCAAGCGCTCCAAGTGCCCACATCCAGATACTACAGAAGGTGTGTTTCAAACCTGCTCTATGAAAGGGAATGTTCAACTCTGTGACGTGAATGCAGATATCACAAAGCAGTTTCTGAGCATGTTACTGTCTAGGTTGTCTATGAAGATACTCCCGTTTCCAACGAAATCCACAAAGCCATCCAAATATCCACTTGCAGATTCTACAAAAATCGTGTTTCCAAACTGCTCTGTCAAACGAAATGTTCAACTCCGTGAGTTGAGGACACACATCACAAACAAGTTTCTGCGAATGCTTCTGTCTAGTTTGCATGGGAAGATATTTCCTTGTTCACCACGGGCCTGAAAGCGCTCGAAATGTCCACTTCCAGATACTGCAGAAAGAGGGTTTGAAACCTGCTCTATGAAAGGGAACGTTCAACTCTGTGACTTAAACGCAAACATCACAAAGAAGCTTCTGAGAATGCTGCTGTCTGCTTTGTACATGTAATCCCGTTTCCAACATAACCCTCAAAGCTATCCAAATATCCTCCTGCAGATTCCACGAAAAGACGCTTTCAAACCTGCCCTTAGAAAGGGAATATTCAACTCTCTGATATCAATGCAGATATCACAAAGTAGTTTCTGAGAGTGCTTCTGTCTAGGTTTTATGTGAAGATATTCCCGTTTCCAACGAAATAGTTAGGGCTATCCATGTATCAGCTTGCAAATTCTATAAAAAGAGTGTTTCCCAACTGCTGTATCATAAGAAAGGTTGAACTCCTGTTAGTTGAGGACACACATCACAAAGACGTTTGCTGAGAATGCTTCTGTCTAGTTTTTATGTTAAGATATTTCCTTTTTCAACATAGGCCTGAAATCGCTCGAAATGTCCACTTCCAGATACTACAGAAAGAGTGTTTCAAACCTGATCTGTGGAAGAGAATATTCAACTCTGTGACTTTAAAGCAAACATCACAAAGAATCTCCTGAGAATTCTGCTGTCTACTTTCTTTATGTATTCCCGTCTCCAACGAAATCCTCAGAGCTATCCGAACATCCATCTGCAGATTCCACATAAAGAGCTTTCCAAAACTGATCTATAAAGAGAAAGGTTCAACTCTGTTAGTTGAGTACATATATCCCAAAAATGTTTCTTAGAATGCTTCTGTCTAGTTTTGATGGGAAGACATGTCCTTTTTCACCAAAGGCGTCAAAGTGCTCCAAATGTCCACTTCCAGATACGACAGAAAGAGTGTTTCAAACCTGCTTTAGGAAGGGAAATGTTCAACTCTGTGGCTTGAGTGCAGATATCACAAAGCAGTTTCTGCGAGTGCCACTGTCTAGATTTTATATGAAGGTATTCCCTTTTCCAACGAAATCGTTAGAGCTATCCAAATATCCACTTGCAGATTCTATAAAAAGAGTGTTTCCAACGTGCTGTATCAAAAGATAGGTTGTACACTGTTAGTTGAGGACACACATTACAAAGAAGTTTCTGAGAATGCCTCTGTCTAGATTTTACCTGAAGATATTCCGGTTTCCGGTGAAATCCTTAAAGCTCTCCAAATATCCACTAGCAGATACTCCAAAAGAGTCTTTCAAAACTGCTCTGTGAATAGAAATGTTCAACTCTGTTAGCTGACGACATACGTCTCAAAGCAGTTTGTGAGAATGCTTCTGTCTAGTTTTTATGGGACGATATTTCCTTTTTCACCATAAGCGTCCAAGCGCTCCAAGTGCCCACATCCAGATACTACAGAAAGTGTGTTTCAAACCTGCTCTATGAAAGGGAATGTTCAACTCTGTGACGTGAATGCGGATATCACAAAGCCGTTTCTGAGAATGTTACTGTCTAGGTTGTCTATGAAGATACTCCCGTTTCCAACGAAATCCACAAAGCCATCCAAATATCCACTTGCAGATTCTACAAAAATCGTGTTTCCAAACTGCTCTGTCAAAAGAAATGTTCAACTACTGTGAGTTGAGGACACACATCACAAACAAGTTTCTGCGAATGCTTCTGTCTAGTTTGCATGGGAAGATATTTCCTTGTTCACCATAGGCCTGAAAGCGCTCGAAATGTCCACTTCCAGATACTGCAGAAAGAGGGTTTGAAACCTGCTCTATGAAAGGGAACGTTCAACTCTGTGACTTGAACGCAAACATCATAAAGAAGCTTCTGAGAATGCTGCTGTCTGCTTTGTACATGTAATCCCGTTTCCAACGTAACCCTCAAAGCTATCCAAATATCCTCCTGCAGATTCCACGAAAAGACGCTTTCAAGCCTGCCCTTAGAAAGGGAATATTCAACTCTCTGATATCAATGCAGATATCACAAAGTAGTTTCTGAGAGTGCTTCTGTCTAGGTTTTATGTGAAGATATTCCCGTTTCCAACGAAATAGTTAGGGCTATCCATGTAGCAACTTGCAAATTCTATAAAAAGAGTGTTTCCCAACTGCTGTATCATAAGAAAGGTTGAACTCTGTTAGTTGAGGACACACATCACAAAGACGTTTCTGAGAATGCTTCTGTCTAGTTTTTATGTTAAGATGTTTCCTTTTTCAACATAGGCCTGAAATCGATCGAAATGTCCACTTCCAGATACTACGGAAAGAGTGTTTCAAACCTGCTCTATTGAAAGGAATATTCAACTCTGTGACTGAAAAGCAAACATCACAAAGAATCTCCCGAGAATGCTGCTGTCTACTTTCTTTATGTATTCCCGTCTCCAACGAAATCCTCAGAGCTATCCGAATATCCATCTGCAGATTCCACATAAAGAGCTTTCCAAAACTGATCTATAAAGAGAAAGGTTCAACTCTGTTAGTTGAGTACATATATCCCAAAAATGTTTCTTAGAATGCTTCTGTCTAGTTTTGATGGGAAGACATTTCCTTTTTCACCAAAGGCGTCAAAGTGCTCCAAATGTCCACTTCCAGATACGACAGAAAGAGTGTTTCAAACCTGCTTTAGGAAGGGAAATGTTCAACTCTGTGGCTTGAATGCAGATATCACAAAGCAGTTTCTGAGAGTGCCACTGTCTAGATTTTATATGAAGGTATTCCCGTTTCCAACGAAATCGTTAGAGCTATCCAAATATCCACTTGCAGATTCTATAAAAAGAGTGTTTCCAACGTGCTGTATCAAAAGATAGGTTGTACACTGTTAGTTGAGGACACACATTACAAAGAAGTTTCTGAGAATGCCTCTGTCTAGATTTTACCTGAAGATATTCCGGTTTCCAGTGAAATCCTTAAAGCTCTCCACATATCCACTAGCAGATACTCCAAAAGAGTCTTTCAAAACTGCTCTGTGAATAGAAATTCTCAACTCTGTTAGCTGACGACATACGTCACAAAGCAGTTTGTGAGAATGCTTCTGTCTAGGTTTTATGGGACGATATTTCCTTTTTCACCATAAGCGTCCAAGAGCTCCAAGTGCCCACATCCAGATACTTCAGAAAGGGTGTTTCAAACCTGCTCTATGAAAGGGAATGTTCAACTCTGTGACGTGAATGCGGATATCACAAAGCCGTTTCTGAGAATGTTACTGTCTAGGTTGTCTGTGAAGATACTCCCGTTTCCAACGAAATCCACAAAGCCATCCAAATATCCACTTGCAGATTCTACAAAAATCGTGTTTCCAAACTGCTCTGTCAAACGAAATGTTCAACTCCGTGAGTTGAGGACACACATCACAATCAAGTTTCTGCGAATGCTTCTGTCTAGTTTGCTTGGGAAGATATTTCCTTGTTCACCATGGGCCTGAAAGCGCTCGAAATGTCCACTTCCAGATACTGCAGAAAGAGGGTTTGAAACCTGCTCTATGAAAGGGAACGTTCAACTCTGTGACTTAAACGCAAACATCACAAAGAAGCTTCTGAGAATGCTGCTGTCTACTTTGTATATGTAATTCCGTTTCCAACGAAATCCTCAAAGCTATCCAAATATCCTCCTGCAGATTCCACGAAAAGACGCTTTCAAGCCTGCCCTTAGAAAGGGAATATTCAACTCTGTGATATGAATGCAGATATCACAAAGTAGTTTCCTGAGAGTGCTTCTGTCTAGGTTTTATATGAAGATATTCCCGTTTCCAACGAAATAGTTAGGGCTATCCATGTATCAACTTGCAAATTCTATAAAAAGAGTGTTTCCAAACTGCTGTATCATAAGAAAGGTTGAACTCTGTTAGTTGAGGACACACATCACAAAGACGTTTCTGAGAATGCTTCTGTCTAGTTTTTATGTTAAGATATTTCCTTTTTCAACATAGGCCTGAAATCGATCGAAATGTCCCCTTCCAGATACTACAGAAAGAGTGTTTCAAACCTGCTCTATTGAAGGGAATATTCAACTCTGTGACTTCAAAGCAAACATCACAAAGAATCTCCCGAGAATGCTGCTGTCTACTTTCTTTATGTATTCCCGTCTCCAACGAAATCCTCAGAGCTATCCGAATATCCATCTGCAGATTCCACATACAGAGCTTTCCAAAACTGATCTATAAAGAGAAAGGTTCAACTCTGTTAGTTGAGTACATATATCCCAAAAATGTTTCTTAGAATGCTTCTGTCTAGTTTTGATGGGAAGACATGTCCTTTTTCACCAAAGGCGTCAAAGTGCTCCAAATGTCCACTTCCAGATACGACAGAAAGAGTGTTTCAAACCTGCTTTAGGAAGGGAAATGTTCAACTCTGTGGCTTGAATGCAGATATCACAAAGCAGTTTCTGAGAGTGCCACTGCCTAGATTTTATATGAAGGCCTTCCCGTTTCCAACGAAATCGTTAGAGCTATCCAACTATCCACTTGCAGATTCTATAAAAAGAGTGTTTCCAACGTGCTGTATCAAAAGATAGGTTGTACACTGTTAGTTGAGGACACCCATTACAAACAAGTTTCTGAGAATGCCTCTGTCTAGATTTTACCTGAAGATATTACGGTTTCCAATGAAATCCTTAAAGCTCTCCAAATATCCAATAGCAGACACTCCAAAAGAGTCTTTCAAAACTGCTCTGTGAATAGAAATGTTCAACTCTGTTAGTTGAAGACATACATCACAAAGCAGTTTGTGAGAATGCTTCTGTCTAGTTTTTATGGGACGATATTTCCTTTTTCACCATAAGCGTCCAAGCGCTCCAAGTGCCCACAACCAGATACTACAGAAAGTGTGTTTCAAGCCTGCCCTATGAGAGGGAATGTTCAACTTGTGACGTGAATGCGGATATCACAAAGCCGTTTCTGAGAATGTTACTGTCTAGGTTGTCTATGAAGATACTCCCGTTTCCAACGAAATCCACAAAGCCATCCAAATATCCACTTGCAGATTCTACAAGAATCGTGTTTCCAAACTGCTCTGTCAAACGAAATGTTCAACTCTGTGAGTTGAGGACACACATCACAAACAAGTTTCTGCGAATGCTTCTGTCTAGTTTGCATGGGAAGATATTTCCTTGTTCACCATAGGCCTGAAAGCGCTCGAAATGTCCACTTCCAGATACTGCAGAAAGAGGGTTTGAAACCTGCTCTATGAAAGGGAACGTTCAACTCTGTGACTTAAACGCAAACATCATAAAGAAGCTTCTGAGAATGCTGCTGTCTACTTTGTATATGTAATCCCGTTTCCAACGTAACCCTCAAAGCTATCCAAATATCCTCCTGCAGATTCCACAAAAAGACGCTTTCAAGCCTGCCCTTAGAAAGGGAATATTCAACTCTCTGATATCAATGCAGATATCACAAAGTAGTTTCTGAGAGTGCTTCTGCCTAGGTTTTATATGAAGATATTCCCGTTTCCAACGAAATAGTTAGGGCTATCCATGTATCAACTTGCAAATTCTATAAAAAGAGTGTTTCCAAACTGCTGTATCATAAGAAAGGTTGAACTCTGTTAGTTGAGGACACACATCACAAAGACGTTTCTGAGAATGCTTCTGTCTAGTTTTTATGTTAAGGTATTTCCTTTTTCAACATAGGCCTGAAATCGATCGAAATGTCCACTTCCAGATACTACAGAAAGAGTGTTTCAAACCTGCTCTATTGAAGGGAATATTCAACTCTGTGACTTAAAAGCAAACATCACAAAGAATCTCCTGAGAATGCTGCTGTCTACTTTCTTTATGTATTCCCGTCTCCAACGAAATCCTCAGAGCTATCCGAATATCCATCTGCAGATTCCACATAAAGAGCTTTCCAAAACTGATCTATAAAGAGAAAGGTTCAACTCTGTTAGTTGAGTACATATATCCCAAAAATGTTTCTTAGAATGCTTCTGTCTAGTTTTGATGGGAAGACATTTCCTTTTTCACCAAAGGCGTCAAAGTGCTCCAAATGTCCACTTCCAGATACGACAAAAAGAGTGTTTCAAACCTGCTTTAGGAAGGGAAATGTTCAACTCTGTGGCTTGAATGCAGATATCACAAAGCAGTTTCTGAGAGTGCCACTGTCTAGATTTAATATGAAGGTATTCCCGTTTCCAACGAAATCGTTAGAGCTATCCAACTATCCACTTGCAGATTCTATAAAAAGAGTGTTTCCAACGTGCTGTATCAAAAGATAGGTTGTACACTGTTAGTTGAGGACACACATTACAAAGAAGTTTCTGAGAATGCCTCTGTCTAGATTTTACCTGAAGATATTCCGGTTTCCAGTGAAATCCTTAAAGCTCTCCACATTTCCACTAGCAGATACTCCAAAAGAGTCTTTCAAAACTGCTCTGTGAATAGAAATGCTCAACTCTGTTAGCTGACGACATACGTCACAAAGCAGTTTGTGAGAATGCTTCTGTCCAGTTTTTATGGGACGATATGTCCTTTTTCACCATAAGCGTCCAAGCGCTCCAAGTGCCCACATCCAGATACTACAGAAAGTGTGTTTCAAACCTGCTCCATGAAAGGGAATGTTCAAATCTGTGACGTGAATGCAGATATCACAAAGCAGTTTCTGAGCATGTTACTGTCTAGGTTGTCTATGAAGATACTCCCGTTTCCAACGAAATCCACAAAGCCATCCAAATATCCACTTGCAGATTCTACAAAAATCGTGTTTCCAAACTGCTCTGTCAAACGAAATGTTCAACTCCGTGAGTTGAGGACACACATCACAAACAAGTTTCTGCGAATGCTTCTGTCTAGTTTGCATGGGAAGATATTTCCTTGTTCACCATGGGCCTGAAAGCGCTCGAAATGTCCACTTCCAGATACTGCAGAAAGAGGGTTTGAAACCTGCTCTATGAAAGGGAACGTTCAACTCTGTGACTTAAACGCAAATATCACAAAGAAGCTTCTGAGAATGCTGCTGTCTGCTTTGTAAATGTAATCCCGTTTCCAACGTAACCCTCAAAGCTATCCAAATATCCTCCTGCAGATTCCACGAAAAGACGCTTTCAAGCCTGCCCTTAGAAAGGGAATATTCAACTCTCTGATATCAATGCAGATATCACAAAGTAGTTTCTGAGAGTGCTTCTGTCTAGGTTTTATGTGAAGATATTCCCGTTTCCAACAAAATAGTTAGGGCTATCCATGTATCAGCTTGCAAATTCTATAAAAAGAGTGTTTCCAAACTGCTGTATCATAAGAAAGGTTGAACTCTGTTAGTTGAGGACACACATCACAAAGACGTTTCTGAGAATGCT